>NC_000011.10:55737195-56040225 GCF_000001405.40 Homo sapiens
CTCTCTCTGACTATTCCATTGGAGAAATAAATTTCTCATTTCAACTGGGATTGCTATTATACCTTATATTAGTAATACCTACAATATTCATGTGTCTTTTTGTGTTCCCTCTTGTGTTTATACCATAACTGTAAGAAGACCATGCCCAGGTAGCCTGCTAGTCTCAGAAGAAAGAGAAACATGAGGATCAGGACTACCCTCAGTAACTCCTCAGCTGCAGTGTGTAACAAAGCCACATCAGCTGATCCACTGTTGTGTGAGCAAGAAATGTATGCTCAATGCTTTATTGTGCTGGGGTATTATAATTTGCATATGTAGCAATAACTTGATGATACAGAACTTGGAATTTTGAAGTGAGATACTCACCTTTGTGTGTGTCACACAAACACACACACACACACACATGCACACACAACTCTGAGATAGGTAGGCTTTGTTCTAGGCCAATTGGTGAATGGCGAGTGATTGGAAGTAAAGGGGGCTATTCAACATAAACCAATGTTTTATATCTTTTTATAATTAAAAGTTCTTTAAGGAAGTCAATGGATTGATTTTATATGTGGTTAAAATTGTGTGTGTGTTCACTTTTGTGATGTTGGTAATTCAGATGCTATCTGTTTTGCTATATCGTGTGATATGGATATGCAGTTATTTTACCTCCATACATCCAGAGGCATGTTCTTTCTCCATGTATCTGTAGTGTAATACCTGCCATATTGAAGTACCTCTTGATAACTTAGTCTGTTTCTGAACATTTTATTATCTTCTACTGTGTGTTCATCTGTTTCTACAATATTACCACACTGCATTAATTACCATATAGTAAAACTAGTCTTGACATTCTGTTGAAAAAAGCCTCAGGGAATTTTTTTTTTTTTTTGCTCTAGGTACTTACTATTCTTGGCCTTTCACACTTTCAGAAAAATTTGAGGATGTTCTTGTCACTCTCCAAAGTAAATGACAATGATGATAATGATAATGAAGACGATGATGACAAAAATACCAGAGTGGTATTTTTATTGGACAGAATGAAGTTTATTTTGAGAGAATAGATATATATTTTTCCAGTCTTTGAACTTAATACAATTCTATGTAGGTTTGCATTAAATCCTCTTAATATATTTTGATACACTTATCTTTAGAGTTACTGACCTACCCCTAGGTATTGAATATTTGATGCTATCATAAGTAGTCTATTCTTAAATATTTCATTCTAGTTTGCTGCTTTTATAAAGACATACAGTTGATTTTAATATATTTGTTTTGAATTCAGAAACATTACAAAACTCTCATTCATTTTTTTTCCCTTATCCATGTTATCTCTACATTACTATGTATTATTATCTGTGAAATGTCATCTTATGAAAATGATGACCTTTTTTGTTTTATCTGTCTATCTATTGATCTATCTGTAATTGATCCTTGTTTATATGCATTATTACACAACTTTAGTGGTTAAAAGTTACAGTACAATGATTGACAAAATAAAGAAAGCTGTAAATATTTATGATTTCAAAAGTAATATCTTACGTTTTAATATTAAGCCTGTTTGTCCTGTAGTTATTTGAAGCTCCTTTATGAAATTAAGAAACATATAATTTTATTTGCTAAGGAAGTTTTTACATGCTTTGATATTAAATTTTAAAAGAAATAGTTCTTATGAGTGTTTATATAATCAAATGCCTTTAGTGTTTTAATATATCATTGTTTGGAGGTATTTGAAGTAACATTATATTATTACTAATTATTATTATTGTCATGGAAAATTTATCTAAAAGTTTAAGAAAAAGACATTGCTCAGACACTTCTTAGGCCTGAATTCCCCTGGATTTGTTATTCCAGTTTACTTTTATATTTTCCCTTTATTTTCTATCAGGGTCTTTTAGGATACTGTTAACTTTTATATCTTAGAAAAATAAAATAATTTCTCCCACTTGGAAAATTTTTTTATTATACTTTAAGTTCTGGGTTACATGTGCAGAACATGCAGTTTTGTTACACAACCATCTGATATGTGACAAAACTGATACACACAAGCAATGGGGAAAAGATTCCCTATTTAATAAATGGTGTTGGGAAAACTGGCTAGCTATATGCAAAAACTGAAACTGGACCCCTTCCTTACATCTTGTGTAAAAATTAACTCAAGATGGATCGAAGACTTAAATGTAAGACCTGGGACCATAAAAATCCTAGGAGAAAACCTGGGCAAGACCATTCAGGGCATAGGCATGGGCAAAAACTTCATGTCTAAAACACCAAAAGCAATGACAACAAAAGCCAAAATTGACAAATGGGATCTAATTAGACTAAAGAGCTTCTGCACAGCAAAAGAAACTATTATAATCAGAGTGAACAGGCAACCTACAGAATAGAAAATTTTTGCAATCTACCCTTCTTGCAAAGGGCTAATATCCAGAATCTATAAGGAACTGAAACAAATTTCCAAGAAAAAAAAAACCCATCAAAAAGTGGGTGAAGGTTGTGATCAGACACTTCTCAAAAGAAAAAATATTTTTATGACTGTTTCTTAAATAGCAATTGGATTGGGACTATAGACTCTTTCTTTTAATATCTCTCTTGCCTGGCCTCTTGGATCTCAACTTTTCTTCTGAAAAAAAAAATTACCTATAGTTTAACTAGTTCATTTTTAAAAAATTTTCTCTTACTATACTTATTTTGGTAACAAAAATAACAAATTATATCAGTAAATCTATTCTCTCATTGATTACCTGACTGAGAAGAGTTTGGCACCTTTCTTTTAAATAAATCTTTAACTTTGAATTGGCAGAAATTTATTGAAATATTTCTTTTTTTAGCCCAAGAAGGTGACATGTCATCCATAATTCAGATCTCTATTTAAGCAATTTGTTTATATAAAGCAATTTCTCACGCCTCTATTGATATAGCCACAGCCTTGGTTTCTGTTTTTAAAAACATGTTCAGAACTTACGAAAATAATGACTTAAAGCTGTAATGAAACCACACATTGGAAGATTAAAAAAAGTTAGTATTATGTGCACAGATCATTCCTTAACCAAAACCTGCATGCAACTCTGAACAAAGTTTGTAGCATTGGAATTTAGAATTGCAAGATAATAATACACATAATCAATACTTTTAAAATTAAAACTTGTTGCACAAATATGCTTGTGCCAACATGGGTTTTCATTGTCTTATTCATTTATTTATTTTTAATTTTTATGGCTACATAATAGTTGTACATGTATATGGGGTACATGTGAAGTTTTGATACAAGGATACCATGCATAATGATTAAATCAGGGTAATTGAGATATTCATCACATCAAGCACTGGTCATTTCTTCTTTTAAGAATGTTCCAATTTCACTTTTCTAGTTATTTTGAAATATACAATAGATTATAGTTAACTACAGTTGCCCTATTGTGTATGGACTACTACTAGATCTTATTCCTTCTATCTAACTGTATTTTGGTTAGATATAATTAATCTTTGATCATTAATCAACACCTGTTTATACACCACTCTCCCCACTACCCTTTTCAGCCTCTGATAACATTTATTCTATTTTCTATGTCCATGAGATTGACTTTTTATGTCCTACATATGAGTGAGAGCATGTAATATTTGGTTTTCTGTGCCTGGCAAATTTCCCTTAACTTAATGACCTCCAGTTCCATCTACATTGTTGCATGTGTTAATCCGTTTTTGTTCTGTTATAAAGGAAATTGTGATGTTGGACAATTTATAAAGAGAAAGGGGTTATTTGGCTTACAGTTCTGCAGGCTATACAAGAAGCATGGCATCGGCACCTGCTTCTGGTTAGGGTCTTAGGAAGCTCACAAACATGGTGGAAGTCAAAGGGGTAGCAGATGTGTCATGGAAAGAAAGAGAGCAAGGCAGAGAGGAGGGAGGTCCCAGACCCTCACATGAACCAGCAGCTCTTGAATGAACTAATGGATCAAGGGCACCAAGCCATTCATGAGGAATCCATCCTCATGACCCAAACATCTACCACTAGGCCTCACCTCCAACATTGGAAATCACATTTCTACATGGAATTTGGAGAGGAGAAACATCCAAACTACATAACCGCAAATGACAGAATTTCATTCCTTCTGTGACTGAATAATATTCCACTGGGTGTTTATACCACATTTTCTTTATCCATTCATTCATTGATGGATACAGGTTAATTCCATATCTTGGCTATTGTGAATAATGCTGCAATAGACATGCAAGTGCAGGTATACCTTTGATATACTGATTTCTTTTTCTTTGGCTAGATACCCAGTAGTGGATTGCTGGATTGTGTATTAGATCTATATTTTGCTTGTCTTTACTTTTTTAGTTTTGGCTTATACACTAAGATGTCTATAAAACAGAAAAGTGAAAAAAAAACTTCTGTTTCTGAGTGATAATATTTTAAAGTAATCCTTGGCTTAGATTCTAAAATTCTTTTCATTGATTTAATCCCTGACTTGACTTCAACTGGAATATCAGGTAAAATGTATTGATGGAGGTCGGTCTTAGAAATTTCCAAGCAGATATTTAATTTTTGCTGCCCATGGCCTATTAAAAATAGCTCATAATATAAATATAAACCATAACTAGCTGCTTAAATTTAGCCTATCAATTTGTCTAAATTTTTCAATACTAGCTGCATCAGAATTTCCAAACCTTTTGAATAGTTGTAATTTCTGTTTCCAAATGCCACTACACGTGTGCATGTCTCAAGACTTCATGGTCAGTAACCAATGAGGTGGTATATTATTGGGTCAATATTTGACACCATTTTTTTTCTTCTCTGATTTGTGCCCTATAGGAATAGATTCAGAAATTACATTACATGGATTTAAAATATCAGTACTATGACTTATATGGTTATGCTGAAAACTATAGGTGGATATACAGTGCAATTCTGATACCTAACATATCCCTATTCTTTGAAACACTAGCTCAAGGCATGTTTAGACTATAACAATAAGCCAACATAATTGAATGTAAAAATATGTACAATGTAATGTTAAAAATGTTTGTGTATAAATAAATGCATACACATAAAGCAACAGAAAAATATTTTAAAAGCATATCAGCTCTAATTACATAGGGGTTATTAGAATAGTCATGGTTGTGTTTTTTGTTTTATTTTTATTTTTTCAAGTTTTTCAGTACAGCCTCTATATAGATGTATATTATTTTTTAAGACATGACCAACACTTAGCAACTCAGAAGAAATTATATTCTAAGTTACAGAAGAGAAAGTTTTCTCTAATTATTTTGTTTATATCTCATGACAATGAACTGTCAGGATTCTCCAGGGTCTGTGTCCCTGAAGTCAAGCAGTTAGATGTAAAACAAACAAAACGATCACAGAATGTGGTCTCAAGGTCTGTCCCTTCCTCAGAAGCATCTCTCTGCTCCTTTCGACTTCTTGACAGTTGGAAAAATGCCATTTCAGTACTTCATTGAATCATATTTTGTAAGAATTACCAACTGACTGATTGAAGGACTAGAAAACTTTAAACAAAATTTCCTTTTTGAGAGAGAAAGTGTGTGAAGCTCCTTAATACTAGGAAGAACACCTTCAACAAAAGGTGTATCAGGAAAATCCGGCTTCTGGTGAGTTGGCTCACTGTAGAGTCATTTCTTCACTTTCACATGAGTAATACTGGAATCTGGCACATTTGTGGCAGGGGAGAAAATCCATGTGAGTTGAATAACAGCAACATCTACTTAGTTCATGGTTTATATTCAACAGACTAAATTTTATTTTTATTACTTCTAGGACCATTGCCCTGAATTTGAAAATATAAAATCTCTACCTGTATGGTAGGTACTTCAGAGGTTATATAAGAGAGGTTGAATGTAAGTCTTGTCTTAAAGAAGAGATATTCTTCAGAGAAAAAGCTGAAAGGGCCACACACACACATATTAGAAAAATATTCCATCCGCCATATAAATATTGTTATGGTATGGATGGAGAGAAAATAAAAGAAGAGAAAAAGACATTTTGATTAACTTCAAGGAAAAAGACATTTTGATTAACTTCAAGGCTTTCTTGGAAGAATTATGCAAATGATTTCTGAAATAATGACACAATGTAAAACATGAAGGAGAAAGGTGGCATTTCAGAAGGATAGACAGTAGACTAGAAGTTATAAATGACTTGTTTTCTAAAATAAAGATTTAAAATAGTGCTATAAATAAACAATATTATGGTGACTAGATGATTTGGTTATATAGTTCTTGGGGATATTATAGAAACTAGGCCAAAAAGGTTCAATTTGATACATTTGTATAAACTATATTAAAAAACACTTACATTATTGTATTCCAGGCAAAGAGGGAGTTGAAAAATGTTAATCTTACAGATTTGACTACAGTTTGATAGGATAATTGGAAATCTTGTCTCTAGATGAGTAGTTGATGACAGTGGAAATTGAGCAAGAGGGACATTTTGAAGATTTTTTTTTCTCTCTCTCTTTATTTTAACATTTCCCTAATTGTCTGTCCCAAAGCCACAAACCTGAGTAGGCAAAAAAAGAATCAGCAAGAACCACACAGGAATGCAATGGTAAAATGAAAATGCTACGTTTGCGGATTGAGAAACAGATATAATTTTGAATCCAAGATTGAGTGAAAACTCTAAAATTAAGGGATTCCAGGATATAACACTCTTTGAAAAATATCTTTTTAAATTTGCACTGCAAAGACATTTTCAAAACTTCAAACTGATGCCATTTTTCTGGGAGGTTTACACACTCAAAAATTAAAGTGTAAATGAGCTGTTATCTGTCAAGGCTTTACCAAAGTATAGATTTGTAGCCAGATATTTTAAAGTCATACCCTATTAGAGAGTTCCGTGCTAAAGATTAAAGGACCTACCATGTTGTTATCGACATTTCATACATGATGAAGTTAAGGCTCATATTATTAAACATTTTGCTAAAGTTACATATGTCATAAGTAGAAGGCTGAATCTGAAGTAGCGGGTTCCCTTTCCTAAGCCCATATTCTCTACAAGATAGCATGATGTGATGCTACCATTTTCTCCATAAATTTAGATCAGCTTCCCTCAATAAAGAAAATAACCGTTGAGATTAGAGTTTCTGATTAGACAGTACAGTGGGAATTTTATTGTTTGCTTTGCTAAGAACAAGGATATAATTTATTCATTCAATCCTGGGAATCCTCCCATGTATCCAGTGTAATTAATTCAAAGCAATACCATTACTACTTTGATAACATTATGGCTATAATATTATCTTAACAATTATAGTCTTTATTATGCACTTTTCAGTGTCTGTTTTGTCTGTGAACTAATAAATATACAATATGGACCTGGCTTTCAAGATAATTGTGAGATGGGCGAGGAAGTGTTGCATTTATTTTAGGTGATTGTGAACTCTTCTAGGTTTTAAAGCTTCCTATAATTATTTAACATAAGTTCCTGTTGAGCACAACATATATATTCTCCAGGAGTTGAGATGAAAGAATGTTTGATAGAGATTTAATGAATTGCCCAAATTGCAATAGGGCCTATAAAGATGGAACAGACTGAAGAATAGTAATATTAATTGAACCTGAAGAAACAGTGAAGGAATTCCAGATAGAGAGAGTGGCCTAATTAAGGCAAGTATCTGTGGTTAAGTACTGATGCAATTACAACAAAGGATTGAACAAACAGTGAAGGGAAGCAAGAAAAGAGTTAAACAGTGCATGAAATATAATAATAAATGCACAGTCCTAAAATCTGTCAGAAAATTTTAAGTGCACAAGCATGGAGGTGCAGCTTACCAGTAATAACTGAGGACAAAGCTTGGCATGGCAATAAAGTGACCTAAGGCAGTTCAATTATTTAACAACTTCTCAGTTAGGCACCGTTATTAGATACGTGGCAAATAAAAGAAGATTGCTGAGTTCATTGCCTCTTGGCATGGCAGCATACTCTTGGGAAAATGAGGTTTACTTCTCAGTGTCAATATCAGCTCAGATAATCAATGGTATACTTAGAATATTGAGTAGGTTTTCTGGCATATTTAGTAACCAGGGTGAGGAGGAAAATGAAAAACCACAAATGCCCTCACCCCTGAGCCCCACAAAACAAACAAACAAACAAACAAACAAAAAACACTAAAATTGTTTAACTAGAGAGGAAAAGAGAGCCACGTAAAATGTCCTTAAATATTTAAAGGACTATAATGTGAAAGGGTTGAGTCTTAATTTCTGTGAATTCCAGACATAAAGTTTGATCCATTTGCATTAGAAAAGTACCCAAAAATGCAATAGAAAAATATCAGTATAGTGAATTTTCAAACATAGAACTACTAAGATGTTTACTTTCATAATAAGTTTCACTGACAGGGTTTGAAGAGAGATCAGTATACATGAGGAAAAATGAATAAAAGATAATACATATATAGTACTTGATGTATGGCTTTATACACAGACAAAAGAAAAAAATAGCTATTGTTGCTAAAATACTATTGCTTATTTTTAATCATAATAACATGGCAAGAAATCTGGAGCCATTGTAGTTTTTTAAGAAGAGAAATTAATAAGTAAATATGTACAGAAAAATGATTCTGGAATCAGTTAAGAATAGGGACTACAGGGAGAAAAATTGGGGGTTAGAAAATCAGTTGACAATTGTAATATTAATACAAGCAAGATATAACTAGGTTCTGATAAAAACAGGTGCAAGAATTAACCTTTCTACATCTCAGTTTTCTCATCTGTACATATTGGAATTATAATAATGTCAAATTGATAACATTGACATAAGGATTAAGTATGTTAATATGTTCAAAGCTCATAACAGTTCCTTGCATAAGCAAATGCTATATGTTTATTAAATAAAATTCAAACAGATGAGAAAATGTGAGGGAATGTACTTTAATGCAAGAAAGAAGCACTAAAAATATTACTAATGAGGACTGAAGAGAAGGCATGGGAAAATATTCAGAAATGCTCTTTTTTTCTTCTTGCCAAGCTTTGTCTTCTCTTGGTTTAGAATCTTTCAGAAAGGACACTTAGTTTCCACTAGACAGAGTATGATCTAAACATTCCAAGGATTATTTCTTCAATGCAAGTTCTAGAACCTTTAGTGATAAAATGGCTTAATCTAGCTGTCTTGTAGTAATAAAATATTGTATCTCAAAATTCTTAACTTGTGTAGTTGTGACGTAACTAAAGTAATCCAAGTTCCTGAATGTAAAAACAAGCCTTTTTAATCAAAGCCTGTGACTAAATGCATGAAATTCACAGAAGGTCCATCCAATCTCCTATGTAACAGAAAGTGATCCTATAACAGATTCTCTGTGCCTGGGATTAGTTATGATAGATTTGATAGTAAGTTGTCATTTGTTACAAACAAGACCAGAAGTTGTGGCAGTTCACAGATGTGTCCAAGAAGGCAACATCTTATCTATTGGGTCTCCAAATACATTTACAGAATGAGTTTGTGGTTTTTATTGTTTGTTTTTTAGGGTTAACCATGTGAAATTTATAATGTGAGGATGACTATTGCTTTACATAAACAAAATGTTTATATTTTTCAATCACACATATTCTGTCATTCCTCATTGACTACCACATCTAAGTTTGTCACCATATCAAGAAAAAATGTTTGGATGTTGTAAGGTATATTTACTTTTTTTTAGTACAGCCATAAGCTAGATAATGATGTTTCAGGCAAATATGGACTGCTTATATGATGGTGAGCCCACAATATTATAATAGTGCCAAAAAATTCCTATCACCTAGTGACATCCTAGCATCATAAAGTGGTAGTGTAATGCATTACTCAAATGTTTTTGGTGATGCTGGTGTAAACAAACTTTCCGTGCTGCCAGTCATATAAAACCTCAGCATATGCAATTATATTCAGTACCAAATACTTGATACTGACACTAAAGGATCATGAACTAGTTTATGAATTTAATAATATATACTTTTATCATCATTTTGGAGTGTACTCCTTCCATGTATTAAAAAATGTTAACTGTAAAACAGACACATCCTTCAAGAGGTATTCTAGAAGGAGACATTGTTATCTTAGGAGATGACATATCCATATATGTTTCTACCCTGGAAGGCCTTCTAGTGGGACATGATGTGGAGGTGGAAGACAGTGATATTGATGAACCTGACTCTATGTAGGCCTAGGCTAAAGTATGCACTTATATATTAGTTTTTAACAAAACAGCTCAAAAGTAGAAAAAAAAAACAAAAGCAGAAAGCGTCTTATAAAACAAGGATATAGAGATCTCAAGATGGATGAATAGGAACAGCTCCAGTCTACAGCTCCCAGCGTGAGTGACGCAGAAGACGGGTGATTTCTGCATTTCCAACTGAGGTACCGGATTCATCTCACTGGGGAGTGCCGGACAGTGGGTGCAGGACAGTGGGTGCAGTGCATGAGGTGAAGCAGGCTGACACATTGCCTCACCTGGGAAGTGCAAGAGGTCCGGGAATTCCCTTTCCTAGTCAAAGAAAAGGGTGACAGACGGCACCTGGAAAATTGGGTCACACCCACCCCAATACTGCGCTTTTCCAATGGGCTTAAAAAATGGCACACCAGGAGATTATATCCCGCACGTGGCTTGGAAGGTCCTACGCTCACGGAGCCTCGCTCATTCCTAGCACAGCAGTCTGAGATCAAACTGCAAGGTGGCAGCGAGGCTGGGGGAGGGGCGCCCACCATTGCTCAGGCTTGAGTAGGTAAACAAAGTGGCTGGGAAGCTCCAACTGAGTGGAGCCCACCACAGCTCAAGGAGGCCTGCCTGCCTCTGTAGCCTCCACCTCTGGGGGCAGGGCACAGACAAATAAAAGATAGCAATAACCTCTGCAGACTTAAATGTCCCTGTCTGACAGCTTTGAAGAGAGTAGTGGTTCTCCCAGCACACAGCTTGAGATCTGAGAACGGGCAGACTGCCTCCTCAAGTGGGTCCCTGACCCCCGAGTAGCCTAACTGGGAGGCACCCGCAAGAAGGGGCGGACAGACACCTCACATGGCCGGGTACTCCTCTGAGACAAAACTTCCAGAAGAACGATCAGGCAGCAGCATTTGTGGTTCACCAATATCTGCTGTTCTGCAGCCACTGCTGCTGATACCCAGGCAAAAAGGGTCTGGAGTGGACTTCCAGTAAACTGCAACAGACCTGCAGCTGAGGGTCCTGACTGTTAGAAGGAAAACTAACAAACAGAAAGGACATCCACACCAAAAACCCATCTGTATGTCACCATCATCAAAGACCAAAGGTAGATAAAATCACAAAATGGGGAAAAAACAGAGCAGAAAAACTGGAAGCTCTAAAAATCAGACTGCCTCTCCTCCTCCAAAGGAATGCAGGTGCTCACCAGCAATGGAACAAAGCTGGATGGAGAATGACTTTGACAAATTGAGAGAGGAAGGCTTCAGAGATCAAATGACTCCGAGCTAAAGGAGGAAGTTTGAACCAACAGCAAAGAAGTTTAAAACTTGGAAAAAAAATTAGATGAATGGATAACTAGAATAACCAATGCAGAGAAGTCCTTAAAGGATCTGATGGAGCTGAAAACCATGGCACGAGAACTACGTGAGGAATGCACAAGCCTCAGTAACCGATGTGATCAACTGGAAGAAAGGGTACCAGCGATGTAAGACGAAATGAATGAAATGAAGCATGAAGAGAAGTTTAGAGAAAAAAGAATAAAAAGAAATGAGCAAAGCCTCCAAGAAATATGGGACTATGTGAAAAGACCAAATCTACGTCTGATTGGTGTACCTGAAAGTGACGGGGAGAATGGAACCGAGTTGGAAAACACTCTGCAGGGTGTTATCCAGGAGAAGTTCCCCAATCTAGAGAATGCCACAAAGATACTCCTTGAGAAGAGCAACTCCAAGACACATAATTGTCAGATTCACCAAAGTTGAAATGAAGGAAAAAATGTTAAGAGCAGCCAAAGAGAAAGGTCAGGTTACCCACAAAGAGAAGCCCATCACACTAACAGCTGATCTCTTGGCATAAACTCTACAAGCCAGAAGAGAGTGAGGACCAATATTCAACATTCTTAAAGAAAAGAATTTTCAACCCAGAATTTCATATCCAGCCAAACTAAGCTTCATAAGTGAAGGAGAAATAAAATCTTTTACAGACAAGCAAATGCTGAGAGATTTTGTCACCACCAGGCCTGCCCTAGAAGATCTCCTGAAGGAAGCACTAAACATGGAAAGGAACAACCTGTAACAGCCACTTTAAAAACATGCCAAATTGTAAAGACCATCAAGGCTAAGAAGAAACTGCATCAACTAATGAGCAAAATAATCAGCTAACATCATAATGACAGGATCAAATTCACACATAGCAATATTAACCTTAAATGTAAATGGACTAAATGCTCCATTTAAAAGGCACAGACTGGCAAATTGGATAAAGAGTCAAGACCCATCAGTGTGCTGTATTCAGGAAACCCATCTCACGTGCAGAGACACATATAGGCTCAGAATAAAAAGATGGAGGAAGATCTACCAAGCAAATGGAAAACAAAAAAAGGCAGGGGTTGCAATCCTAGTCTCGGACAAAACAGACTTCAAAACAACAAAGATCAAAAGAGACAAAGAAGGCCATTACATAATGGTAAAGGGATCAATTCAACAAGAAGAACTAACTACCCTAAATACATATGCACCCAATAAAGGAGCACCCAGATTCATAAAGCAAGTCCTTAGTGACCTACAAAGACACTTAGACTCCCACACAATAATAATGGGAGACTTTAACACCACACTGTCAACATTAGAAAGATCAACGAGACAGAAAGTTAACAAGGATATCCAGGAATTGAACTCAGCTCTGCATCAAGTGGACCTAATAGACATCTATGGAACTCTCCACCCCAAATCAACAGAATATACATTCTTTTCAGCACCACACCACACCTACTCCAAAATTGACCACATAGTTGGAAGTAAAGCACTCCTCAGCAAATGTAAAAGAACAGAAATTATAACAAACTATTTCTCAGACCACATTGCAATCAAACTAGAACTCAGGATTAAGAAACTCACTCAAAACCACTCAAATACATGGAAACTGAACAATCTGCTCTGGAATGACTACTGGGTACCTAATGAAATGAAGGCAGAAATAAAGATGTTCTTTGTAACCAATAAGAAAAAAGGCACAACATATGAGTATCTCTGGGACACATTCAAAGCAGTGTGTAGAGGGAAATTTATAGCACTAAATGCCCACAAGAGAAAGCAGGAAAGATCCAAAATTGACACCCTAACATCACAATTAAAAGAACTAGAGAAGCAAGAGCAAACACATTCAAAAGATAGCAGAAGGCAAGAAAAAACTAATATCAGAGCAGAACTGAAGGAAATAGAGATACAAAAAACCCTTCAAAAAATCAATGAATCCAGGAGCTGGTTTTTTGAAAAGACCAACAAAATTAATAGACCGCTAACAAAACTAATAAAGAAGAAAAGAGAGAAGAATCAAATAGACGCAATAAAAAATGACAAAGGAGATATCACCACTGATCCCACAGAAATACAAACTACCATCAGAGAATACTATAAACACCTCTATGCAAATAAACTAGAAAATCTAGAAGAAATGGATAAATTCCTCGACACATACACCCTCCTAAGACTAAACCAGGAAGAAGTTGAATCTCTGAATAGACCAATAACAGGCTCTGAAATTGAGGCAATAATTAATAGCTTACCAATCAAAAACAGTCCAGGACCAGATGGATTCACAGCCGAATTCTATCAGAGGTACAAGGAGGAGCTGGTGCTATTCCTCTGAAAGTATTCCAATCAATAGAAAAAGAGGGAATCCTCCCTAACTCATTTTATGAGGCCAGCATCATCCTGATACCAAAGCCTGGCAGAGACACAACAAAAAAAGAGAATTTTAGACCTTGGTGAACATTGATGCAAAAATCCTCAGTAAAATACTGGCAAACCGAATCCAGCAACACATCAAAAATCTTATCCACCATGATCAAGTGGGCTTCATCCCTGGGATGCAAGGCTGGTTCAACATACTAAAATCAGTAAACATAATCCAGCATATAAACAGAACCAAAAACAAAAACCACATGATGTAGTAGATGAAGAAAAGGCCTTTGACAAAATTGAACAGCCCTTCATGCTAAAATCTGCCAATGAACTAGGTATTGATGGGACGTATCTCAAAATAATAAGAGCTATCTATGACAAACCCACAGCCAATATCATACGGGTATGGACAAAAACTGGAAGCATTCCTTTTGAAAACTGGCACAAGACAGGAATGCCCTCTCTCACCACTCCTATTCAACATAGCATTGGAAGTTCTGGCCAGGGCAATCAAGCAGGAGAAGGAAATAAAGGGCATTCAATTAGGAAAAGAGGAAGTCAAATTGTCCCTGTTTGCAGATGACATGATTGTATATCTAGCAAACCCCATCATCTCAGCCCAAAATCTCCTTAAGCTGATAAGCAACTTCAGCAAAGTCTCAGGATACAAAATCAGTGTGCAAAAATCACAAGTATTCTTATACACCAACAACGGACAAACAGAGAGCCAAATCATGAGTGAACTCCCATTCACAATGGCTTCAAAGAGAATAAAATACCTAGGAATCCAACTTACCAGGGATGTGAAGGAACTCTTCAAGGAGAACTAGAAAGCACTGCTCAATGAAATAAAAGAGGATACAAACAAATGGAAGAACATTTCATGTTCATGGGTAGGAAGAATCAATATCGTGAAAATGGCCATACTGCCCAAGGTGATTTATAGATTCAACACCATCCCCATCAAGCTACCAATGACTTTCTTCACAAAACTGGAAAAAACTACTTTAAAGTTCATATGGAACCAAAAACGAGCCCGCATCACCAAGTCAATCCTAAGCTAAAAGAACAAAGCTGGAGGCATCACACTATCTGACTTCAAACTATGCTACAAGACTACAGTAACCAAAACAGCATGGTACTGATACCACAACAGAGATATTAACCAATGGAACAGAACAGAGCCCTCAGAAATAATGCTGCATATCTACAACTATCTGATCTTTGACAAACCTGACAAAAACAAGCAATGGGGAAAGGACTCCCTATTTAATAAATGGTGCTGGGAAAACTGGCTAGCCATATGTAGAAAGCTGAAACTGGATCCCTTCCTTACACCTTATACAAAAAATAATTCAAGATGGATTAAAGACTTACATATTAGACCTAAAACCATAAAAACCCTAGAAGAAAACCTAGGCAATACCATTCAGGACATAGGCATAAGCAAGGACTTCATGTCTAAAACACCAAAAGCAATGGCAACAAAAGCCAAAATTGACAAATGGGATCTAATTAAAGTAAAGAGTTCCTGCAGAGCAAAAGAAACCACCATCAGAGTGAACAGGCAACCTACAGAATGGGAGAAAATTTTTGCAGTCTACTCATCTGACAAAAGGCTAATATCCAGAATCTACAATGAACTCAAACAAATGTACAAGAAAAAAACAAACAACCCCATCAAAAAGTTGGTGAAGGATATGAACAGACACTTCTCAAAAGAAGACATTTATGCAGCCAAAAAACACATGAAAAAATGCTCATCATCACTGACCATCAGAGAAATGCAAATCAAAACCACAATGAGGTACCATCTCACACCAGTTAGAATGGTGATCATTAAAAAGTCAGGAAGCAACAGGTGCTGGAGAGGATGTGGAGAAATAGGAACACTTTTACATTGTTGGTGGGAATGTAAACTAGTTCAACCATTCTGGAAGTTGGTGTGGCGACTCCTCAGGGATCTAGAACTAGAAATACCATTTGACCCAGCCGTCCCATTACTGGGTATATACCCAAAGGATTATAAAACATGCTGCTATAAAGACACGTGCACACGTATGTTTATTGTGGCACTATTCACAATAGCATAGATTTGGAACCAATCCAAATGTCCAACAATGATAGACTGGATTAAGAAAATGTGGCACACATACACCATGGAATACTATGCAGCCATAAAAAATGATGAGTTCATGTCCTTTGTAGGGACAGGGATGAAGCTGGAAACCATCCTTCTCAGCAAACTATCACAAGGACAATAAAACAAACACTGCATGTTCTGGCTCATAGGTGGGAATTGAACAATGAGAACACATGGACACAGGAAGGGGAACATCACACACCAGGGACTGTTGGGACTGTTGTGGGGTAGGGGGAAGAAGGAGGGATAGCATTAGGAGATATACCTAATGCTAAATGACGAGTTAATGGGTGCAGCACACCAACATGGCACATGTATACATATGTTACAAACCTGCACGTTGTGCACATGTACCCTAAAACTTAAAGTATAATATTAAAAATAAAAAAATAAAATAAATGAAACAAGGATATAAATAAAAATATGTTTGTGTAGCTATACAATGTGTTATTTTTTAAGGTAAGAATTATTACCAAAAGGTCAAATTAAAAAAACTAGAATTTATAAAGTAAAAATGGTATAGTAGGCAAAGGTTATTTTATTATTGGAGAAAGAAATTTTTAAAAATAAATTTTGGATAGCCAAAGTGTACAGTGTTGATAAATTCTACAGTAGTGTACATAATATTCTAGGCCTTCATATTCACCCACTATCTGCTTCCTGACTCCTACAGAGTAGCTCCTGCAAGCTTCATTCATATTAAGTGCCTTATACAGAAGTACCATTTTTTATCTTTTATTCCATATATTTTACTGTACCTTTTCTATGTTTAGATATGCAAATACTATTGTGTAAAAGTTGTCAGGTCTCTACAATAGGCTATACCATCTAGGTTTGTGTAAGTATACTCCATGATGTTCACACAAAGATGAAATCACCCAATGGCACATTTCCTAGAATATATACTCATTGTTGAGCAATGTATGACTGTAGTATAAATTTTGTGGTTTATAATTGCTAAAAAATAGAGAAATTTCTGTTTCATACAATATGTGCTGCAAACAGGCTGCATAACTAACAGAAGATAATCTATTGAAACTTTTAAGAATATCTACAAAGCACATTCTCAGGAAGCGGTTTTATAACATTGAGTGTTTTGAGCCTTATATTAGATTGGTGCAAAAGTAATTGTAGTTTTTGTCACTGAAAGTAATGGTGATAAATAACTATATGATGGCTATATAATTGAGGGAACATATTATTAGTGGAATTTTTAATCAGACCACTTAAAGATTCTCTTAAGTAGATGTTCTATATATCCATCATAATGAGATAAACTTGGAACAGGTAAAAATGTAATGTATCAATACAGAACTGTGACCATCTGACAAGACACAATACGCCCCCCAGCCAAATTTTACTATTATGTTTTTATGTATGTTTATCCTTTCAAAGGACTCTTTTGCCACGATCATATGACTACTATAATCTGCTCAATGCTTTTTTGATTTTGCTGATATGTTTCCTTTGTTGTCATATAATTATGTTTTACCATGAGAATTCATTGCTGTATCATATAAATTTACATACAGCTTGTGTACAATAATATTGATAATTACTATTTTTTCTTGTTTTCCAGATGAGGGAACAAAAGTGCTGAAAGACAAAACTATTTTTCCCTAATCAAAAAGACTATAAATTATCAAGTAAGACTCTTAGTGAAGTCGAAGACCTTGAAAACACACTAACCACATTTGTCTTCACTCCTTTACATCAAGCCTCTTCTGGGTTCCTCCTACCCTACCTTCTCAACTTCTGTTGTTACAACTAATTTAATTTTTCTTTATTTTTCTCTCTTTCTGTCTCCATCACCTTTTTCTGTCTCTCTCTCTTTTAGTGAAGGGCCTTGGTACCAGAAGAGAGAAACCAGAGCTCTGTGACCACATTCATCCTGTTGGGTTTCTCAGAATATCCACACCTCCAGGCGCCCCTCTTCCTGGTGTTCTCGACCACCTACACTGTCGCTCTGGTGGGAAACCTGGGCATAATTGTGGTTGTAAGAATCAATCCTAAGCTCCATACCACCATGTACTTTTTCCTCAGTCATCTATCCTTTTTGGATACTTGTTATTCCAATGTATTTACACCCAAACTGTTAGAGATTTTGGTTGTGGAAGACAGAACTATCTCCTTCAAAGGATGCATGGTACAATTTTTCTTTGGTTGTGCATTTGTAATCACAGAAATGTTCATGTTAGCGGTGATGGCTTATGACTTGTTTATGGCTGTTTGTAACCCCCTGCTCTACACAGTGGCTATGTCTCCTAAGCTCTGTGCTCTCCTGGTAACTGGAACTTACACATGGGGTGGACTCTGTTCCCTGACACTCACTTATTCTCTTTTGGTGTTATCCTACTGTGGATCTAACATCATAAATCACTTTGGCTGTGAGTACTCTGCCATTCTTTCTCTATCCTGCTCTGATCCCTACTTCAACCAGATGGCGTGTTTAGTCATTTCTATATTCAGTGAAGCTTGTAGCCTCCTGGCCATCCTTGCCTTCTATGTCTTCATAGTTGCCACTGTCATCAAGATGCTTTCTACGGGTGGACCCCAAAAGGCCATCTCCACCTGTGCCTCCCACCTGACCACCGTCTCCATTTTCCATGGGGTCATCCTGCTCCTTTACTGTGTGCCCAACTCCAAAAGCTCATGGCTCCTGGTCAAAGTGGCTACTGTACTTTTTACAGTCATAATCCCTATGCTGAATCCCCTGATCTACAGCCTTAGGAACAAAGATGTAAAAGAGACCGTCAGGAAGTTGATAAACTCCCAATCACCTTTTCACTCAAAATAATTCAAATAAATGTTTGTTTATGTGTCCTATGTCCATTTTTTTCATATACATGATTGATGAGAGTTTATATTTAAATATATGACTGTGTTTGAAGTCCATTACATATTGGATACTTCACATTTTTCGATGTTCAAGATGCCTTACCATTATCTCTAGTTTATAACAATGTAATGCATTCTGTTTTACCCCTTTTCAGGAGATTTCAGAAAGAAATTTATTTCAGTCTTCCCACCAGACACTGGTTTTAAGCTATGCTTTAAAAAAGTGCAGCAACTAGAAGTAATAACTGCCTTTAGGGAGTTACTGGATCAATATTAAAGGCCTCATAACCAACTATTTTGACTTAGCAAGTTTTGTAAAGTACAAGTTTTTGCTTCACCTTAACATTTTATTCTAGGCCAGATGGGACCTTGGGGTTTACATTATGAAAGATATTACCTTATTTTAAGCTAGGAGATACTAGCTACTATATTTATATTCATCACTCATTTTTGAGTAACAATGTAATATATCATAATCCAATAAAAGTTGAAATAATGCTGAATATCAACAAAAAGTTCAATTTATTTCTAACAATACTTATATTCATTACTGAAATTGACTCCTTTACAGTTCTGGAGGCTGGAAGGTCATATTCAAGGTGTGGGCAGGGCCACACTCCCTGCAGAGACTCCAGGGAAGCTCCTTTTCCTACCTCTTCCACCCCTGGTGACCAGAGGCTTACCTCGGCTGGGGGTAGCAGCACCCTATCTCCACCTACCTCTATCTCCACAGGGCCTTCTTCCCTGTGTTTGTGTCACTCTCCAAATCCCACTCTCCTTTCTAAATGGGCACCCATCACTGGATTTATAGGGCCTGCCCAAATCCATTACGGCCATGTCTTAATTTGATAACATCTGCAAACTCTTTTTTCTGAACAAGGTCACATTCCAGGTGCCAGGGCTAGGACTTGAACATATCTTTTTGGAGAGCACACGTAAACCCACTATCATGAGTGACCCCAGACATGGCCCTTCTGGTCCTAGATCTCAGTTTCCTCACCTATAACCTGAGGGCCGTCCCAGGAAAAAAAAACATTATATATATAATATATAGGTATATATATAAAATATATGTATATATATATAATATATATGTATATATATAAAATGTATGTGTATATATATAAAATATATATACACACACACAAATGTGGTATATATACAAATGTGGTATGGTGTATGTGTGTATAGTATATATTTATACACAAGTTGACAACCTGGAGAGTAAGATCTTCCTTGAAGGGGGATTGGTAACATGGATCTTCAAGGACTTCTATACATATACATATAATATATATACACAAACACACACACACATCACACACCCCTACTCATACATATATACACACACACACACATACGTGCAATACACATGGTATATATATGGTATACATATATGAAATATATGATATACATGTGGTTTATGTGTATGTATATATATACACACCTATATGTGTGTGTATATATATACATACACATACACACTCACACACAAACCTACTCATACATACATATACCACATTTTCTTTACCCATTCATCGTTTGATGGGCATTTATGTTGATTCCATATCTTTGCAATTGTGAATTGTACTGTGATAAACATACACAATGCAAGTGTCTTTTTTGTATAATGACTTATTCGTTTTGGGTAGATACTCAGTAGTGGGACTGCTGGATCAAATGGTACATCTACTTTTAGTTCTTTGCAAAATCTCCATACTGTTTTTCATAAAGGTTGTACCAATTTACATTCCCACCAACAGTGTATATGTTCCACTTTCACCTCATCTGCACCAACACCTATTGTTTTTGACTTTTTCATAATGACCATTCTGGCTGGGGTAAGGTGATATCACATTGTGGTTTTAACTTGCTTTGCTTTGATGATTAGCAGTGTTGAAATTTTTTAATATGCTAGTTGGCTGTTTGCACATCTTCTTTTGAGAAATGGCTATTCACATCATTTGCCCAGGTGTACTGGGATTATTTTTTTTCTTGCTGATTTGTTTGAATTCTTTGTAGATGCTGGTATTAGTCCTTTGTCAGATGTAAAATTTACAAGTATTTTCTCCCATTCTGTAGGTTGTCTATTTATTCCATTGATTATTTCTCTTGCTGTGTCAAAGCATTTTAGTTTAATTAAGTCTCATTTATTTATTTTTGTTTTAGTTGCATTTGCTTTGGGGGTCGTAGTCATAAATTATTTGCCTAGGCCAATGTCCAGAAGAGTTTCTCTTATGTTAACTTCTAGAATTTTTATGGCTTCAGGATTTAGATTTAAGTCTTTAATCCCTTTTGAGGTCATTTTTTATATGGCGAGAACTAGGAATCCAGTTTCATTCTTCTGCCTTTTGTTAACCAATTTTCCCATTATCATTTATTGACTAGGAAGTCCTTTCCCCAGTGTATGATTTTGTCTGTTTTGTTGAAGATCTGTTCGTTGTAGGGATTTGCTCTTATTTCAGAGTTCCTATTCTATTCCATCAGTCTGTGTCTACTTTTATATTAGCACCATGCTGTTTTTGTTACTACAGCCTTGTAGAATAATTTGAAGTTGGATAATGTGATGCTTCCAGATTTTTTCTTTTTGTTTAGGATTGCTTTGGCTATTCAGGCTGTTTTTTTAGTTCCATATGAATTTTAGGATTGTTTTTTCTAATTCTGTGAAAAATGACATTGTATTTTGGTAGGAATTGCATTGAATCTGCATATTGTTTTAGGCAGTATGGCTATTTCCACGATATTGATTCTTCCAATCTGTGAGCATATGGGATTTTTTTTTTCATTTGTCTGTGGCATCTACAGTTTCTTTCATCAGGGTGAAAACTAATTATTTTTTCTTGTAGTGTAATTGAGATACTTTGGGCTTTCATGTTTCTTTTTTTTTTTTTTTAATGTTTGTCCTGTTACATCCCACCACCAGGTTTTTTTTTATATATATATACTTTAAGTTTTAGGGTACATGTGCACTACGTGCAGGTTTGTTACATATGTATACGTGTGCCCTGTTGGTGTGCTGCACCCATTAACTCGTGATTTAGCATTAGGTATATCTCCTAATGCTAACCCTCCCCCCTCCTCCCACCCCACAACAGTCTCCGGTGTGTGATGTTCCCCTTCCTGTGTCCATGTGTTCTCATTGTTCAGTTCCCACCTATGAGTGAGAAGATGCGTGTTTGCTTTTCTGTCCTTGTGATAGTTTGCTGAGAATGATGGCTTCCAGCTTCATCTATGTCCCTACAAAGGACATGAACTCATCATTTTTTATGGCTGCATAGTATTCCATGGTGTATATGTGCCACATTTTCTCAATCCAGTCTATCATTGTTGGACATTTGGGTTGGTTCCAAGTCTTTGCTATTGTGAATAGTGCCACAATAAATATACGTGTGCATGTGTCTTTACAGCAGCATGATTTGTAAACCTTTGGATATATACCCAGTAATAGTATGGCTGGGTCAAATGGTATTTCTAGTTCTAGATCCCTGAGGAATCGCCACACCAACTTCCACAATGGTTGAAGTAGTTTACATTCCCACCAACAGTGCAAAAGTATTCCTATTTCTCCACATCCTCTCCAGCACTTGTTGTTTCCTGACTTTTTAATGATTGCCATTCTAACTGGTGTGAGATGGTATCTCATTGTGGTTTTGATTTGCGTTTCTCTGATGGCCAGTGATGATGAGCATTTTTTCATGTGTTTTTTGGCTGCATAAATGTCTTCTTTTGAGAAGTGTCTGTTCATATCCTTTGCCCACTTTTTGATGGGGTTGTTTGTTTTTTTCTTGTAAATTTGTTGGTGTTCATTGTAGATTCTGGATATTAGCCCTTTGTCAGATGAGTAGATTGCAAAAATTTTTTCCCATTCTATAGGTTGCCTGTTCACTCTGATAGTAGTTTCTTTTGCTGTGCAGAAGCTCTTTAGTTTAATTAGATCCCATTTGTCAATTTTGGCTTTTGTTGCCACTGCTTTTGGTGTTTTAGACATGAAGTCTTTGCCCATGCCCATGTCCTGAATGGTAGTGCCTAGGTTTTCTTCTAGGGTTTTTATGGTTTTAGGTCTAACATGTAAGTATTTAATTCATCTTGAATTAATTTTTGTATAAGGTGTAAGGAAGGGATCCAGTTTCAGCTTTCTATATATGGCTAGCCAGTTTTCCCAGCATCATTTATCAAATAGGGAATCCTTTCTCCATTTCTTGTTTTTGTCAGCTTTGTCAAAGATCAGATAGTTGTAGACATGTGGCATTGTTTCTGAGGGCTCTCTTTTGTTCCATCGGTCTGTATCTCTGTTTTGTTACCAGTGTCATGCTGTTTTGGTTACTGTAGTCTTGTAGTATAGTTTGAAGTCAGATAGTGTGATGCCTCCAGCTTTGTTCTTTTGGCTTAGGATTGACTTGGCAATGCGGGCTCTTTTTTGGTTCCATATGAATTTTCAAGTAGTTTTTTCCAATTCTGTGAAGAAAATCATTGGTAGCTTGATGGGGATGGCATTGAATCTATAAATTACCTTGGGCAGTATGGCCATTTTTACGATATTGATTCTTCCTATCCATGAGCACAGAATGTTCTTCCATTTGTTTGTATCCTTTTTTATTTCCTTGAGCAGTGGTTTGTAGTTCTCCTTGAAGAGGCCCTTCAATTCCCTTGTGAGTTGGATTCCTAGGTATTTTATTCTCTTTGAAGCAATTGTGAATGGGTGTTCACTCATGATTTGGCTCTCTGTTTGTCTGTTATTTGTGTATAAGAATGCTTGTGATTTTTGCACATTGATTTTGTATCCTGAGAATTTGCTGAAGTTGCTTTTCAGCTTAAGGAGATTTTGGGCTGAGACAGTAGGGTTTTCTAAATATACAATCATGTCATCTGCAAAAAGAGACAATTTGTCTTCCTCCTTTCCTGATTGAATGCCCTTTATTTCCTTCTCCTGCCTGATTGCCCTAGACAGAACTTTTAACACTATGTTGAATAGGAGTGGTGAGAGAGGGCATCCATGTCTTGTGCCCAGTTTTCAAAGGGAATGCTTCCAGTTTTTGTCCATTCAGTATGATATTGGCTGTGGGTTTGTCATAGATAGCTCTTATTATTTTGAGATACGTCCCATCAATACCTAATTTATTGAGAGTTTTTAGCATGAAGGGCTGTTCAATTTTGTCAAAGGCCTTTTCTGCATCTATTGAGATAATCATGTGGTTTTTGTCTTTGGTTCTGTTTATATGCTGGATTACATTTACTGATTTTCATATGTTGAACCAGCCTTGCATCCCAGGGATGAAGCCCACTTGGACATGGTGGATAAGCTTTTTGATGTGCTGCTGGTTTCAGTTTGCCTGTATCTTATTGAGGATTTTTGCATCAATGTTCATCAAGGATATTGGTCTAAAATTCTCTTTTTTTGTTGTGTCTCTGCCAGGCTTTGGTATCAGGATGATGCTGGCCTCATAAAATGAGTTAGGGAGGATTCCCTCTTTTTTTATTGATTGGTATAGTTTCAGAAGGAATGGTACCAGCTCCTCCTTGTACCTCTGGTAGAATTCGGCTGTGAATCCATCTGGTCCTGGACTGTTTTTGGTTGGTAAGCTATTAATTATTGCCTCAATTTCAGAGCCTGTTATTGGTCTGTTCAGAGATTCAACTTCTTCCTGGTTTAGTCTTAGGAGGGTGTATGTGTCGAAGAATTTATCCATTTCTTCTAGATTTTCTAGTTTATTTGCATAGAGGTGTTTATAGTATTCTCTGATGGTAGTTTATATTTCTGTTGGATCGGTGGTGATATCCCCTTTGTCATTTTTTATTGTGTCTATTTGATTCCTCTCTTTTCTTCTTTATTAGTCTTGCTTGTGGTCTATCGATTTTGTTGGTCTTTTCAAAAAACAAGCTCCTGGATTCATTGATTTTTTGAAGGATTTTTGTGTCTCTATTTCCTTTGATTCTGCTCTGATCTTAATTACTTCTTGCCTTCTGATAGCTTTTGAATGTGTTTGCTCTTGCTTTTCTAGTTCTTTTAATTGTGATGTTAGGGTGTCAATTTTGGATCTTTCCTGCTTTCTCTTGTGGGCATTTAGTGCTATAAATTTCCCTCTACACACTGCTTTGAATGTGTCCCAGAGATTCTGGTATGTTTTGTCTTTGTTCTCATTGGTTTCAAAGAACATCTTTATTTCTGCCTTCATTTCGTTTTGTACCCAGTAGTCATTCAGGAGCAGGTGTTCAGTTTCCATGTAGTTGAGCAGTTTTGAGTGAGTTTCTTAATCCTGAGTTCTAGTTTGATTGCACTGTGGTCTGAGAGATAGTTTGTTATAATTTCTGTTCTTTTACATTTGCTGAGGAGTGCTTTACTTCCAACTATGTGGTCAATTTTGGAGTAGGTGTGGTGTGGTGCTGAAAAGAATGTATATTCTGTTGATTTGGGGTGGAGTGTTCTGTAGATGTCTATTAGGTCTGCTTGGTGCAGAGCTGAGTTCAATTCCTGGATATCCTTTTTAACTTTCTGGCTCATTGATCTGTCTAATGTTGACAGTGGTGTATTAAAGTCTCCCATTATTATTGTGTGGGAGTCTGAGTCTCTTTGTTAGGTCACTAAGGACTTGCTTTATGAATCTGGGTGCTCCTGTATTGGGTGCCTATATATTTAGGAAAGTTACCTCTTCTTGTTGAATTGATCCCTTTACCATTATGTAATGACCTTCTTTGTCTCTTTTGATCTTTGTTGGTTTAAAGTCTGTTTTATCAGAGACTAGGATTGCAACCCCTGCCTTTTTTTGCTTTTCATTTGCTTGGTAGATCTTCCTCCATCCCTTTATTTTGAGCCTATGTGTGTCTCTGCACGTGAGATGGGTTTCCTGAATACAGCACACTGATGGGTCTTGACTCTTTATCCAATTTGCCAGCCTGTGCCTTTTAATTGGAGCATTTAGCCCATTTACATTTAAGATTAATATTGTTATGTTTGAATTTGATCCTGTCATTATGATGTTACCTGATTATTTTGCTTGTTAGTTGATGCAGTTTCTTCCTAGCCTTGATGGTCTTTACAATTTGGCTTGTTTTTAAAGTGGTTGGTACTGGTTGTTCCCTTCCATGTTTAGTGCTTCCTTCAGGAGCTCTTTTAGGGCAGGCCTGGTGGTGACAAAATCTCTCAGCATTTGCTTGTCTGTAAAGTATTTTATTTCTCTTTCACTTATGAAGCTTAGTTTGGCTGGATATGAAATTCTGGGTTGAAAATTCTTTCCTTTAAGAATGTTGAATATTGGCCCCTACTCTCTTCTGGCTTGTAGAGTTTCTGCCCAGCTATCATCTTGTTAGTCTGATGGGCTTCACTTTGTGGGTAACCTGACCTTTCTCTCTGGCTGCCCTGAACATTTTTTCCTTCATTTCAACTTTGGTGAATCTGACAATTATGTGTCTTGGAGTTGCTCTTCTCGAGGAGTATCTTTGTGGCGTTCTCTGTATTTCCTGAATTTGAATGTTGGCCTGCCTTGCTAGATTGGGGAAGTTCTCCTGGATAACATCCTGCAGAATGTTTTCCAACTTGGTTCCATTCTCCCCATCACTTTCAGGTACACCAATCCGACGTAGATTTGGTCTTTTCACATAGTCCCATATTTCTTGGAGGCTTTGTTTGTTTCTTTTTATTCTTTTATCTCTAAACTGCTCTTCTCACTTCTTTTCATGCAGAAAGGTCCTTAGAGGACCTGATGGAGCTGAAAGCCGTGGCACAAGAACTATGTGATGAATGCACAAACCTCAGTAGCCAATGCGATCAACTGGAAGAAAGGGTATCAGTGATGGGCTTTCACTTTTCTAAAAAAAATTTTCGCATAGTTTTTGTGGACTTAGGGTTGAATTATAACCGGATAGATTTACTTGGGAAAAAAATAGCAAGTTTGCATCACTGGGTTTTGCAAACCATGAACTTTCTATATCTTTCTTTTTATTTAGATTTACTTCAATTTTTATAAAAATTGTTGCATCTCTTTTTTTCTGTAAAGTTCTTGCACACATTTTGTTAAATAAATCACTGAGTGCTTGAAGTTTTTCATGCCATTTTCATGTCAGTTGTGATATATGTTATTTTTAGATTTTAATACAATTTATTTTTACATTGATTTTGCTTCTGACAATTCTATTAGAATATCTTATTAATGTTATAACTTATTTGTCGATTATTTTGAGTTTTCAACATATGCATCATATTCTCTTCGATTAAATGTAAACTTTTTGTGTTGTTCTAAATGATATACCTTTTACTGGTTTGTCTTGTCTTGGTTAACTTGCTAGGCATCTCTGTATTATGTTGACTAAAGAGTAAAATTGGGAATCCTTGAGGTCTTAACTTCACAAGGAAATAATTTTTATTTCATATTTAGAATGTTTTCTGTGGGTTTTCTTTTTGTAGATTCCTTTTTATTTTCTAGGTTACCAACATGGTTTGCTTCACTTTGTTTATTTTCATTTGTTTTTGTTATGCTTGTTTTTTAGTGGATGGTGATGTAATAACCCATACTCTGAATAATATCATGGAATTTTATTGTCATACTGTTAAAAAAGAAAAAGCAAATATTGATGTGTATAAATAATATTATTTTATTAATATAAATTCATAAACACACAAAATTAATCTATATCAATATGTCAGAATAGTAGTCACCCTTGAAGTTTACTGACTGGGAGGAGGCATAGTATGTGCTGCTGGGTAATATTTGATAATAACTAATATGTTAAACTTGTTGGTTTATGTACAAGTTTGTTCACTTTATTGAGTTGAACTCTTAATTGTGCACTTCGTTGCATTTAAGTTATATTTCAATTAAAATAATCTAAAAGAATGAAAGAAATGTGGATTCCTTGGCAGCACTTAGAAAAATCCACATTTTTAAGAAAGTGTTACAGTTAGATTCCATGCACACAGTTCTTGGGACAGCGTTTGGCACGTAGAGTATTTTTTGTGGATGAACAGCTAGGTGTGGGAGTAAAGGAAAGGGAATGGAAGGTACAAACTGTCTATATGTGGATATGATGTTGATGAACACCACACATATGTTCATCCGGTGTGATGAACATCACACAGATGTTCATCCGGTGTGATGAACATCACACAGATGTTCATCCGGTGTGAAGAACATCACACAGATGTTCATCCGGTGTGAAGAACATCACACAGATGTTCATCAGGTGTGAAGAACATCAGATGTTCATCAGGTGTGATGAACCCAACAAAGCCTTGCCTTATCCTGTGGGAGCTTTGGCACACATGTGACATACAGTCTCTGAATTGATCCCCTTGGGCCAGATCTTTGTATCCATGCCCAATTAGTTAGATGAGCACCCTGGTTCCATGTAGCTGAAGCCAATGCGGAAGAAGTTGACAACCTGGAGAATAAGATACTCCTTGAAGGGGGATTGGTAGCATGCATATACATCTTCAAGGACTATTATACATATAATTACTGGTAAGAGTGCAAATTGGTAGAATTACTTTAGAGAGTAATTTGGGAATAGCTACCCTAAGAAAATATAACTTATGACACAGCAATATTGTTTCTGAAAATTTATATTTAAAAAGATCATAAACATATAAATTTGGATATATTTGAAGTATTAATTATAACAACAAAAGACTGGAGACTCTTAAATGTCCATTAATAACTATTTGGTAATTAATTATAACATATTTTAAAAATCACACCATACAACCATTAAAAATACTAAGTCATTTTAATATATACTTATATTTTACAAATACTTCTATCTCTAAAATAGAATCTTTCAGGAAAATTGAACAAGGACTACACAGTAGTCATAATTTGAAATCATATATATAAGAAGTACATGTGTGTGTCTCTATTACATATGAACATGCAAGTACATTACTATTTCTTAAGGATTCAAACAAATGAAGACTTGGCAGTGGTTACTTTAGGTGGGAAAACAGAGAGTGGCATGTGGAGATTTTTTTTAAAGTATCTTTTAAATCACCTTAGGTAAACATATTATAAAATCAAATACCATTATATTTAATTAATCACAACATGTTTTAATATAGAAATGGATGGCTAAAATATGTTGGCATGATTTCTATTTTGTGATCAACAAAGTATCTAAAATTTTATAATCATCAAGTATCTGTTTTTGTCTCTGCCTTTCTCTCTTTGTAGGTAGATTAATAGATACATATATTTACAAGATATAGTTACCCATATATACAGATAATATGTAAATATCATATGTAAATATATCTGTGTTTTGTGTATTTATATATGTAAATCTTTAACGCACATACTGTGGATTACATATATATTATTTCCCCTTACAAATATCTCTATATTACTTCAAGAGATAGATTATATTGGACCTAAAAATGAACTGAAATGTATTATTGAGATTCATTCTCATTGTTTTATGGCATATTTTTAGAAGAATTATCATTGTCAAGTATGCGTTTTGGTGTATACTTTTTCTTCAATAATTATTTTAAACATTTCTGGCAATCTTAATATTTTACGCTCTTTGTTTCATGAAATGATACACTTTCAATGTATTTTCAGTTTTCAATTATGGATGTCTTTCTCATTTACAATTATCTTAGACTTCTCAAAGTTTTCATTATGCTATATTGCATGTAGTGTTACAGAAGTACAAACACTATGGAGAATTAATGATCTAGGGAATGGTCTAATTTCTGCCTCTAATGATGCACGGTTAGAATGCTTAATTCAATTCCCAGAGTGTAAAAAATCAAGAATGGAGTTTTCTTTATGAAAATCACATTCTATATCAATTTAAGCATTAGAATCTCATGCTAATGCCACTTTCATTTCATCCAACAAGTGAGATAATAGAGTTGCTTTGTAAACTGCAATTATTAAAAATATAAATGGCTTCTGTAAGATTGATTTTTATCGATTAGTTTCACAAATACCTTTTAAATATGTAGCCTGGCACTGAATTAGACACTAGTGCAGTAAAATGCAGTGTGGATTTAAGAGTGTGGTGGGGAAGAGCACAAGGAAAGCATCAAATCAATCAAACTAGAAACCTAAGGTAATTGATATGACTGATGTATGTCTTCAGATTGCTGTGATTTTGTAGCATCTCTCTATATGGAAGGATATTATTTGAGTCCTGGTTATTCCACATAGCACTATTGTGGCCTAGAAAACTAGACCATGTATTGTTTGTTTCTTTGTCAAATACGTGTATTGTTAGGAAATATCATGTGGGTTTGCATACACTAAATAAATTTCTATTTATGTAGTAATTAGGAGCTCAAACATGTTAATCACTCCCAGTCCAACTCCCACCACCCACATACACACACACAGTCATGTACACTAAAAAAAAAAAATTCTGGAAAATGGTGTAGCAAATTGATTCGAAAGGAGCAAGTGTGGACGTTAAGAGGCTGCTTGTTATACATTTCATTATCTCAGTGTCAGAGGTGATGAGGTCTTAGCACTAAGCAGCAGTGATTGTAGTGGTAAAGATTAAATGAAATGGGCCTTTTTCTGTGAATGTTAACATGAAAAAAAAAACTTTACATATTTTCAGATTTACAAAACAAGTGGAAAACTTGTTCAGAGAATTCCTATACACTCCTCACTCAGTAATCCACACTTGACATCTTACACAATTATCATTACAATTTTGTCAAAAAGAGCTTCTAGGTCACAAAATAATCAATCGAGTAAAAAGTTAACCTACAGAAAAGGAAAACGTACTTGCAACCCATATATCTGATAGCAGGTTAATATCCAAAATATATAAAAAGCTCAAATAACTCAATAGCAAAAAATAATCTAATAACACAGTTGAAGAAAATGGCCTAAGTGCTTCAATAGATATTTCTCCAAAAAAGACAAACAAATGGCCAATAGTTATATTAGAAATCAATATCACTATTCATTAGAGGAATGTAAATCAAAACCAAAAAGGGATTATGTCACCTAATGTGCTAAGATAGCTGATATATATATATATATATGGCTATTATATATATGTATGTTTTATGGCTATTACATGTATAAACACACACACACATACATGACAAGAATTAGCAAGGATGTGGAGAAAAGGGAATTTTTATATACTGTTCATAGGAATGCAAAATGGTGCAAGTGATATGGAAAACAATATGGTGGGTCATCAAAAAATTAAAAATAATATTACTGTATGATCCAGCAATACCGCTTCTCAGTATTATATCCAAAATAATTGAAATCAGGATCCCAAGGGTATATCTGTATTCCATGTTTATTGCAACACAATTCACAATAGGCAAGATGTATTACAACCTAAATATTCATCAACAGATGAATAAATAAATTGTTGTATATACATACATACAATAGAATACTATATTGCCATATAAAATAAGGAAATTCTGTAACTACGACAACATGGATGAAGCTTGAAGACATGATTTTATGTAAAATAAGCCAGTTGCAGAAGGGCAAATGCTGCATGGTTCACATACGTGAAGTGTCTGTAATAGCCAAATTTATAGTTTGAAATAGTGGAATGGTGGTTGCTAGGGGCTGGGCAAAGTGGGAATTAAGAAGTCACTAATCAGTGGGCATAAAGTTAATAAATTCCATAGATCTGTTTTAAAACATTGTATTCATAGTTAACAATACTGTATTGTGCACTTAAAAATCTGTTAGGTAGGTACATCTCATGTTAAGTGTTCTCATTAAAATATTCACACAAAAAACATTGGTACATTACTACAACTAAACTCCAGTCTTTATTTGAATTTCATCTTTTTTTTTTTTTGTTCTGGGGTACATGTGCAGAACGTGCAGGTTTGTTATATAGGTATACACATGCCATGGTGGTTTGCTGCACCCATCAACCCATCGTCTACATTAGATATTTCTCCTAATGCTATCCCTCCCCTAGACCCCACCCTGCAACAGTCCCTGATGTATTATGTCCCTCTCTCTGTGTCCATGTGTTCTCATTGTTCAACTCCCAGTTATGAGTGAAGACGTGCAGTGTTTGGTTTTCTGTTCTTGTGTTAGTTTGCTGAGAATGATGGCCTCCAGCTTCATTCATGTCCTGGCACAGGACATGAACTCATTCTTTTTTATGGCTGCATAGTATACCATGGTGTATATGTGTCACATTTTCTTTATCCAGTCTATCATTGATGGGCATTTGGGTTGGTTTCTAGTCTTTGCTATTGTGAACAGTGCTGCAATAAACATACATGTGCATGAGTCTTTATAGTAGAATGATTTATAATCCTTTGGGTATATACCCAGTAATGTGATTGCTGGGTCAAATGGTATTTCTAGTTCTAGATCCCTGAGGAAGTGCCACGTTGTCTTCTATAATGGTTGAACTAATTTACACTCCCGCCAATGGTGTGAAAGCATTTCTATTTCTCCACAACCTCTCCAGCATCTGTTGTTTCCTGACTTTTTAATGATCACTATTCTAACTGGCATGAGATGGAATCTCAATGTGGTTTTGATTTGCATTTCTCTAATGACCAGGATGAGCTTTATTTCACGTTTGTCAGCTGCATAAATGTCTTCTTTTGAGAAGTGTCTGTTCATATCCTTCACTCACTTTTTGATGGAGTTGTTTGTTTTTTTCTTGTAAATTTGTTTAAGTTATTTGTAGATTCTGGATATTAGCTCTTTGTCAGACGGATAGATTGCAAAAATTTTCTCCCATTCTGTAGGTTGCCTGTTCACTGTGATGATAGTTACTTTTGCTGTGCAGAAGCTCTTTAGTTTAATTAGATTGCATTTGTCAGTTTTGGCTTTGTTGCCATTGCTTTTAGTGTTTTAGTTATGAAGTCTTTGCCCATGCCTATGTTCTGCATGGTATTGCCTAGGTTTTCTTCTAAGTTTTTTAAGGTTTTAGACCTAACGTTTAAGTCTTTAATCCATCTTGAGTTAATTGTTGTGTAAGGTGTAAGGAATGGATCCAGTTTCAGCTTTCTGCATATGGCTAGCCAGTTTTCCCAACACCATTTATAAAATAGGGAATCCTTTCCCCATTGCTTGTTTTTGTCAGGTTTCTATCAGATATCAGATGGTATTCAAAGAGAATATAACACCAAGGAATCCAACTTACAAGGTATGTGAAGGACCTCTTCAAGGAGAACTACAAACCACTGCTCAACAAAATAAGAGAGGATACAAACAAATGGAAAAACATTCCATGCTCATGGATAGGAAGAATTGATATTGTGAAAATGGCCATACTGCCCAAAATAACTTATATATTCAGTGCTATCCCCATCAAGCTACCATTGGCTTTCTTCACATAATTGGAAGAAAACTACTTTAAATTTCATATGGAACCAAAAAAGAGCCTGCATAGCCAAGACAAGCCTAAGCAAAAGAACAAAGCTGGAGGGATCACGCTACCCAACTTCAAAATATACTTCAAGGCTACAGTAACCAAAACAGCACGGTATTGGTACCAAAACAGATATATAGACCAATGGAACAGAACAGAGGCCTCAGAAATAACACTGCACATTGACTTTGAGAGTCTTAAGGAGTACTCTCTACATATCCTGTAGAGTACTCCCACGTCTGGGTTTTCCTGATAATGTTCTCATATTAAGCTGGGTTTACGGTTTTCAGCATAAGTAAATGACAAAAGCAAAGTGTCTCTCTTATAACATCATGTCAAGGGTACATGATACTCACATCATGATACCACTGGTCGTGGTAACTTTCATCCTGTGCTTAAAGTAGTTTTACATGTCCGATTTCTTCACTATGAATTTGAATGTGGAATTTGAAATGTAGTTGTATTCATACTAGCTATTTCTGAATTGTTCCTTATTTTTTTCCTATTCTCAAACTATGCTGTTGATGTTTTATTTGGTGAACATGTACAATTTCAATAATTCAAGAGTTAAAGGTAGTTAATGGAATAATTGTGGTGATGTAATTATCCCTAATAATTTAGAAGAAAATGTATCTATCATAATGACACAAGAGACAGCCAATTAATTGTGTTTGGAGGCCAACCAAGAAAACTCTAATTATACTCTGTAGTCATGGAGACAGATAAAACCCAGAGTTTAGTAGACATTATATTATAGATTTGGCTTTTTGTTTTTTCCTTGTATTGAGATTTCTTATATCCTAGAAATAAAATGCTATTTTGCTGGCACACTCATTGAAATGCACTACCGCTTTTAAAGCCTGCTGCTGTCTTAAAGAATGTTTGACTATTGAGAAGAAAAGTACCTGTTGTTCATTAATCAGAAAAATAGATTCTCAGAAAATTAATCAAGAGCTTCTGGCTTCAGGTTAGTTCATTTATCTTTTGCTATCTTTCAATTCAGGTGGAAAACATGGGAATCCAGTGCATATAGATTACCCTAAAAGTTAAATTGGCCTCTTTTTATGGCTAGAGACATTTTAATTTTCACTAACAAAGCATGAAGTATTCATTAGAATTACATTTTGTAATACAGACACCGCTAGTGGTGGCACTAGGGAACAATGGAGAAAAGTCTACAAAAACTTATGAGATATTTGTTGATTTTGAACTTCCCTGTGCCTGCTTTGTCTTGAGTACAAGCCTAATGACAACCCATTGATGTTTATGAAATGCTTTTGAAATAGCTAAGCCTTAAATATCAGGTCTCTTTCTGAGAATCTCTTTTGTTATTGACCTATTAACTGTGCCAAGTATCCCAAGCAGTGGTAGCAGCCTTCACTACTCTGGTCAAACGTTGAAGGGCAAACCATTCATTAGCATTGTGTAAATGATAATGAATGCTTAAAGTGAAATCACCCAGGCCCACTTGGTACTGGAAAGAATATGCTCATGATGAATGCTCTGTGTTGAGGGTTGCTTGTAGTGCATGTAAGGAAATGCATAGGACTGGAGCTTGGCACTCATTTCAGGGAAAGCTGAGAAGATGAAAAAAGAAATATACATGGATTTCTGCTGCATCGTCCTATTTTTATTCATGCTTTTTCACTCATAACAAGTCCATTTACTTTAGGTTTTATTATTTTCACTCCCCTGTCTTCTTAAAGTTTGTCTTATCATGAAAGAGAGATAACCGCTTGAGCTCAGAAGTTTGAGAACACCCTGGGCAACATAGTGAGACCCTGTCTCTAGAGAAAAATAAGAAATTATCCTAGTGTGGTGGTGCATGCCTGTAGTCCCATCTACTGAGGAGGATCACTTGAGCCTGGGAGTTCGAGGCTGCAGTGAGCATTGATCTTGCCACTGCACTCTAGCCTGGGTGACAGAGTGAGACCCTGTCTCAAAAACAAGCAAACAAAAATAAATAAATAGAAATAACTCCATATAAACAGTGCATGTTGAATGACTAGATTACAACCTTTGTTTATAATTTGATGTAGCCCACTGATTTTAGATTGGCTGTAATCTTTCATTCTTACCACTAATTTCAATAAAATTGCCTCAAGCTCAAAAAAAAAAAAAAAGAAAGAGAGATTATTTATTTCTTATTGGTTAAGAACATGTGTAATTTTCATTATACAACTTTCAGGGTATCAGAGAATATATTTTGTATGAAAATATTTTTGACAACTACAGATGTTTCTATTTTTCTAACATATTCTGTATTAGCACATATAGAATACATATTATGTGCATACATGTATACATATATATGTATATCTCAGAAGATGTGACCTAAAGCACATCAAGGAACAGGTAATGGAAATTTAATTAATTGACTTTATTTAATAAAATAATAAAAGTTCAGCAAATTGTCAAAATGCCCATAAAAACACTCCAGGAGGCAATGTACATTGATGAAAGTTTTAATGGAAGCTACATAAACATCTTAGAAATGGGCTTCCACAGCAAACTCTTGAGGATTAGGTGCAAGGCATAGGCTATATACATTTTATGGTTTATTTAAATTCTTAAATTCTACAATCATTTAATTCTGTGTTATGCCCAGCAAAGGTAGAAAATAGTAACATTTATGTGCCACCATTGGCGGTGCTAAATCACCTACTTGATCCTCAGTGTAATTTTTAGATCCATGAGAAGGTTTCCTTTGTGCTTCTCAGTTTTTAAAAATTGATTTTATGTCATAATATATATTTCAGTTCTATGTCAATCATACTAAAAATGGCTGACTTTTCAATAATAGAATGATTACTGTATATTTTCCATGTAAGTGGTGGTTTTTGCCCTTTAGCAGGCATCAAAATCACCTGGAGACTTGACTAAACCACAAATAGTGGGCCTCATCCCAGAGCTTCTGTTCAGAAGGTTGATGGAGCTGGAGAATTGGCAATAGTAGGAAGTTCCCAGGAGGTGATGCTACTGCTGGTTTGATGACCACATTTTGAGAATCACTGTTCTATATCACTTGTCCTAGAAACACATGAAGCCTCTTTCCTATCTCTTTTTTCCTATCCAGTTCTGCTTTTCAAGAATAACTTTTTTCCTTTTAATCCAACAAGTATCATGATGGCATCTGAAAGAAATCAAAGCAGCACACCCACTTTTATTCTCTTGGGTTTTTCAGAATACCCAGAAATCCAGGTTCCACTCTTTCTGGTTTTCTTGTTCGTCTACACAGTCACTGTAGTGGGGAACTTGGGCATGATAATAATCATCAGACTCAATTCAAAACTCCATACAATCATGTGCTTTTTCCTTAGTCACTTGTCCTTGACAGACTTCTGTTTTTCCACTGTAGTTACACCTAAACTGTTGGAGAACTTGGTTGTGGAATACAGAACCATCTCTTTCTCTGGTTGCATCATGCAATTTTGTTTTGCTTGCATTTTTGGAGTGACAGAAACTTTCATGTTAGCAGCGATGGCTTATGACCGTTTTGTGGCAGTTTGTAAACCCTTGCTGTATACCACTATTATGTCTCAGAAGCTCTGTGCTCTTCTGGTGGCTGGGTCCTATACATGGGGGATAGTGTGCTCCCTGATACTCACATATTTTCTTCTTGACTTATCGTTTTGTGAATCTACCTTCATAAATAATTTTATCTGTGACCACTCTGTAATTGTTTCTGCCTCCTACTCAGACCCCTATATCAGCCAGAGGCTATGCTTTATTATTGCCATATTCAATGAGGTGAGCAGCCTAATTATCATTCTGACATCATATATGCTTATTTTCACTACCATTATGAAGATGCGATCTGCAAGTGGGCGCCAGAAAACTTTCTCCACCTGTGCCTCCCACCTGACAGCCATCACTATCTTCCATGGAACTATCCTTTTCCTTTACTGTGTTCCTAATCCTAAAACTTCTAGCCTCATAGTTACAGTGGCTTCTGTGTTTTACACAGTGGCGATTCCAATGCTGAACCCATTGATCTACAGCCTTAGGAACAAAGATATCAATAACATGTTTGAAAAATTAGTTGTCACCAAATTGATTTACCACTGAATATGATGTTCTTAGATACGTTATTTCTGAAAAAAGTGATTTACTATCTTACAGATTACCCATCTCTTACAGTGCAATTGATTATTCAAATTATTTAATCAATAGACTATCAGTTGACACATTCACACCAGCACAACCTTTTGAAATAGATCTAAATGACATGTAACTAAAAATTCTAAAACCTAAAGCTTTTATATCATCTGTTGCAGTATTTGTAAATTATTTTAAAATACTTTTCTAGGTATTCTGTAATTTTATGTGTATTTTCAAAGCAAAACTGATTCAAACTGATTAAATGTGTGCAGATTCAGGATGGTTCCCTAAAATTGTAATCAGGAAAACCATATTCCTGAGTGACTTTAACAAAACTTCTGCTTACTGTGTCTTGTGGAACAACCAACCCTTTACTTTTTCTTGTTTTGAATGGAAGAAGTTGATTTTTATTCATGAAAATTATAGCCTGCTGATTAGCAAATGAAATGGAATTAAGTATTACTCTACCTTTCTTAATGCATGCCCTATTTTATTCTAAAAAATTATCTGAGTATTCAGGCAATGGGATATTAAGGTAACAGAGTCCTAAAATGAAGTCACACATATCTGGTAACTTATATTCCAACAAACAGGCCATTATAATTCAATGGAGAAAAATAATAATGGGAAAACTGGATATTCGTGTGGAACAAAAGAGCCATAAGTTTTATTTCCCATCATACAAAGCTACTAACTTGAATTAAATGAAATATATCATAAATCTAAATGTAAATGTTATAAGTACCTTTTAGCATAAAACATAGGGAGAATCTTTTCAAAGTTTGGGTGGAACTTTTTTGGATAGAATGTTAAAAGAATGGATCATCAGAAAATGGATAAAATGAATTTTATTAACAATAAAACCTTATGTTAAAAGTTTTTTTTATGGCAAAAGACACATTAAGAAAGTGAAAATGTAAGCTGCAGATTGTAAATAAATATTTGTAATATTTAGGTCTGACAAATGATTTGTTTGTGGAACATATAAAGAACTATTGTACTCAAAACAAGAAGACAAACCATCTAGTTAAAAATGGATTAAATGTTTTAGGACACACTTGACAAAAGAAGATACACAAATCATTCATAAACACCTGAAAAGATATTGAGTATCACTAATCATCAATGAAAGTTATATTAAAACCACAGTGACTGAGGAGGCTGAGGTGGTAAGATTGCTTGAACCCAGGAGTTCGGGGTTACAGTGAGCTATAATGCCACTGCAGTCTGGCCTGGGAGACTCTGTCTCAACACACACACAGACACACACACACACACACAGACACACACACACACACACACATACATACACACACAGAGTGATGTATAATTGAACACTCATTAGAATGGCTAAAATAAATTTAACTGAAATGCCAAGTGTCAGTGAAAAAAATGAATCAACTGTAATGCTAACACATTTCAGGTGGAGGTAAAAGTTAAGTCTTTGAAAACAATTTAGCAATATCTTATGAAATTACACAAAGACTTCCCATTTAACTCAATAATTCCTTTCCTGGGTATTTACCCATTAGAAGTGAAATCACATATTTTAATTTAGGAGAAAATTTTTCTCTCTGGGATGTACAATATTATAGGGAAGGGAAAAGAGTAGGGGATATTTTTGAGGATTTTGTGACCATGTTCCTTTCAAAAGTGATTTTCCTAGAAGCGATGGGTTTTCTTCCATGATGGACTTTTGCTATAGACTTACTCAGGGTAAACAGAGGGAAGCAGGAAAAATCTTGTCCAACACAGAGAAACTGATTTTATGAATACACATGCACATACACACATGAGTATATGTACAAGTGGAATCATATGTATAGCTGTATATGTATTGTTTATGGTATCATATACATATGCTAGGTAATCTCAATACATCTTCACCTGCATTATGTCTCTGATGACCTTCTATAATATCCACATTACCAAGTGTGATGGTTAATACCGAGTGTCAACTTGACTGGATTGAAGGATGAAAATGTAGCTCCTGGGTGTGTCTATGAGGGTGTTACCAAAGGAGATTAACATTTGAGTCTGGGAAAGGCAGGCCCACCCTTAATCTGGGTCAGCACCGTCTAATCAGCTGCCAGAGAGGCTGGGATATAAAGCAGGCAGAAAAATGTGAAAAGACTATAGACTGGCTTAGACTCTAGCCTGCATCTTTCTCCTGTGCTGGGTGCTTCCTGCCCTGGAACATCAGATTCCAATTTCTTCAGATTTGGGACTCAGACTGGCTTCTTTGCTTCTCAGCTTGCAGATGGTCTATTGTGGGAGCTTGTGATCGTGTGAATTAATACTACCTAATAAACTCCTCTTTATACACACACACACACACACACACACACACACACACACATCTTATTAGTTCTGTCCTGCTAGAGAATCCTAACTAATACACCAATCCTTTAAGAATGAGACTGATGGGCCCGTGCGGTGGCTCACACCTCTAATCCCAGCACTTTGGGAGGCCAAGGCGGGCGGATCGCCTGAGGTCAGAAGTTCAAGATGAGTCTGGCTAACATGGTGAAACCCCGTCTCTACAAAAAATACAAAAATTAGCTGGTCGTGCTGGTGGGTGCCTATAATCCCAGCTACTTGGGAGGCTGAGGCAGGAGAATCCCTTGAACCTGGGAGGTGGAGGTTGCAGTGAGCCAAGATAGTGCCACTGCACTCCAGCCTGGAAGACAGAGCAAGACTGTCTCGAAAAGAAAAAAAAAAGAATGAGACAGATGAAATATAATTGTCCTGTTGCAATAATTCAGGGTAGGGTTAATTCGTTGATAAATTAGTGTTTTTCACATTGATATGGGAAGATCCCATTGCATTCCTCATTGATCCTGAGAAAAGACAGTCTCTGTAAACATGAGTTGAAGTTTGGTGAGGAAAAGAAAATAATGATGCTTGGTTTTTAAATAGAAGGACTTTAGGACAATAGTTCATTATAAATGTCTTGGAGGGACTGCTGAAATAAAAGGGGGAAGACAGGTCTTCTGTGGAGGAGTAAAGAAGCCAGTAAAATACTCAGGCTAAAGAAACAAAAGTTGTCATAACATGCAGCCACCCCATAATTTACTTATACCTCTTGAGGATGGGCATCCTGGAGTTTTGATTGAGGTCTGACAGGTGTGTGGAATTCCTGGATAATATGGTAATTCTTTTCTTTTTTTTTTCTTGAGGAACCTCCTTACATTTTCCATAATGGCTGTACTGATTTATATGTCCACTAACAGTGTATCAGAGTTCCCGTAAATAACACATAATCTCAATAGTAAGTGGAATATAAAAATGTCAAACCCATGGAAGCAAAAAATTGAATAGTGAGAGATGGGGAAAGGGTAGATGGTTAAAGGAGGGAATATTGTTTCAAGTAGACAGTAGGAATAAGTTTTAGTGATCTATTGTAGAGCACAATGATCATAGTTAATAATAATGTATTATATATTTCAAAATTGCTGAAGGAGTAGATTTTAAATGTTTCAGTTAATTATAATGTATTGTAGCTAATAATTATTAATTTGAATAACAATTCTATTAGGTAGGTACAAAAGTAATTGTGATTTTTGCCTTTGAAAGTAATGTAATTAATAATAATGTATTGTATATTCAAAATTGCTGAAGGAGTAGATTTTAAATGTTCACTACAGGAAACTGATAAGTTTGTGATGTGAACATATGTGAATCAGCTTTATTTAATCATTCCATAATGTAAACATGTATCAAAACATCACATTCTACCCCATATATCTGTTTATAGAATTATTATTTCTCAATTAAAAATATAAATTGCCAAATAGATATTATTAGTATGTATTAATTATCTAGGAATAGATAATTAAAATTTCAAAGAGCAAAGAGATCTTCCTTGGTGATCTGGTAGTCACTAGCTGTTTTCTACACTGCACACATTTTATGATTCTTTGAACAGATTAAATTTCAGGTTTGGGCCTTGCAAAGGGCTGCTACTGGAGAAACAACAAATCCAGCAGTGCTTCGTGGACACACAGGAATTTACAGATAAACGGAAAAGTAACCAAAACATAGTTTGTTTTTTCTGCTAGTTCCTGAAGGCATAAACTTAGGTTATTTGAGATCTTTCTATGTTTTTAAACATAGCATTTATTACTATAAACTTTCCTCTTAGAACTGCTTTTGATGGATCCTATATATTTTGATATGTTGTTTCTATTTTTGTTTGCTCAAGATATTTTTAAATCTCTCTTTCTTTCGATTTCTTCTTTGATACATTGATTGTTGAGGAGCATCTTGTTTAGTTTCCACATATTTTTGATTTTTAAACTTTTCTTTTTTTATTGATTTTAATTGATCAATAAATGATTACCATTATTGTTTCTTACCATTGTGGTTGGGAAACTACTTGATATGATTAAAATCTTAAAGCAATCTAGGAAATGAAGGAAAAGATAAACATCTGAAAATAAAATCAATTAGAACTTCTGAAATTGAAAAACTCACTTAAGTAATTTCAAAACACAATTGAAATATTTATCAATAGACTGGACAAAGCAGAAGAAATAACTTTAGAGCTAGAAGGCTGGTCTTTGGAACTAATGCAGTCAGGTAAAAATAAAGAAAAAGAATTTACAAAAATGAACAAAGTCCTTGAAAAATACAGGATTATGAAATCTACAAAGCCTATGAATTATTGGCATGCCTGAGAGAGAAAAAGGAAAAGCAAACAACCTAGAAAACATACTTCAGGAAATAAAGAACATTTCCCTAATCTTGCTAGAGAAATAGACATGCCAAATTCTCAGCAGCAACCTTGCAAGCCAGAAGAATCTGGGAGCCTATTTTCAGCATTCTTAAAGAAGAGAAATTACAACCAAAAATTTCATATATCTTTAAACTAGGATTCATAAGTGAAGGAGAAATAAAAACTTTTCCAGACTAGCGAGCACTAAGGAAATGTGTTACCTCTAAATTAGCTTATAAGAGATCCTTAAGGGAGTTCTAAACATTGAAACAAAAGAATAATATCTGCTACCACAAAAATATCCTTAAGTACACAGCCCACAAACTCAATAAAGCAACCACACAATAGAAACTGCAAAGCAATCAACTAGCAACTTCATGGTAGGATCCAAACCTCACTTACCAACATTAACCTTGAATGTAAACATTCCACCTATATGCCACTGAGTGACAAATTGGATAAAACAAATAAGACCCATGTGACTATCAAATTGCTGTCCTCAAGAGACCATTCTCACATGGAACATAGATTCAAAGTAAAGGGTTAGAGAAAGATCTATCACATAAACAAAAAATAATAGAGAGCAGGGATCACTATTCTTACAACAAAGAAAACAGACTTTAAACTTACAACAGTAAAAAAGGATAAAGAATGACATTACATAATGATAAAGGATTCAATTCAAAAATAAAACTTAACTATCATAAATATATATGCACCCAATATTTGAGCCCCCATATTATAAAACATGCATTTCTAGACCTACAAAAAATGTAGATGGCCATGCAATAATAATGGGGGATTTCAACACCTCATTGACAATGTTATACAGATTATCAAGGCAGAAAACTAACAAAGAAATTCTGGATTTATTTGACACTTGAGCAATTGGACATAATAGACATCTACAAAATACTACACCCATCAACCATGGAATATAGATTTTTCTCATTTGTACACAGAACGTGTCCAAGGCTGTCCACATGCTTGAACGTAAAGCAAGTCTCAATACTTTTTTTAAACAATGAAAAGCATGTCAACCATACCTTTGAAGCACAGTGGAATAAATCAATACCAAGAAGATCTTTCTAAACAACACAATTACATGGAAATTAAACAACTTGCTTCTAAATGACTTTTGGGTAAACAATTAAATTAAGGCAGAAGTAAAAAAAAATTTTTTGAAATAAATGAAAACAGAGACACATACGGCAAAATCTCTAGGATGCAGCAAAAGCTGTGTTAAGAGGAAAGTTTAGTGTGCTAAAGTTAGAAAGATTTCAAATTCATGACCTAACATCACACCCACAGGAACCAGAAAAAGAACAAACTAATCCCAGAGCTGGCAGAAGAAAAGAAATAACTGAAATCAGAGCAGAACTGAATGAAACTGAGACTTAAAAACACGTGTAAAGAATCAAAGAAACCAAAATAGAATTCTTTGAAAGAATAAACCAGATAGATAGACTGCAAGCTAGATTAACAAAGAAAAAAGAGCAGATCCAAATAAGCACAATCAGAAATAACAAAATGACAACCAATCCCACAAAAATACAAAAGTTCTTCAAAGACTATTATCAACACCTTTTTGAAAACAAAATAGACAATTCAGAGAAAATGGGTAGAATCCTGGAAATGCACAACCTCCCAAGATTGAATCAGGAAGAAATCAAAACCCTGAATTGACTAATATCAAGTTCTGAAATTGAACCAGTAACAAAAAACCTACCAACCAAAAAATGTCCCAGATCAGATGGATTCACAGCCAAATTCTACCAGACATACAAAGAAGAGCTGTTACCAAGTCTACTGAAACTATTCAGGAAAATGGCAGAGCGGGGACTCCTCTTTATCCATTCTATATAACTAGTGTCACTCTGATACCAGTAAGTGGTGAGCAAACATTGAAAAAATAAAATTATAGGCCAATATTCCTGATGAACATAGATGCAAAAACCCTCAGCAAAATATTAGCAATCCAAATACAGCAGCACATACAAAATTAATTCAGCACCATGAAGTAGGCTTTTTTCCTGGGATGCAAGTTTGGATCAACATATACAAATCAAAAGTATGATTCACCACATAAACAGAATTGAAAACAAAACCATATGGTCATCTCAATAGATGGAGAAAAACCTTTTGATAAAATCCAACATCCCTTCATGATAAAAGCACTCAACAAACTATGTATCAAAGGAATACATCTTGAAATAATAACATCCACTGATGAAAAACCCAGAGCCAACATCATATTGAACAGGCAAAAGCTGGAAGAATTGCAAGAAGACAAGACCATTCAGTCTAATCACTCCTATTCAACATAGCATTGAAAGTCCTAGCCTGAGAAAGCAAACAAGAGGAAAAAAAAATAAAAGGCATCAAGATAGGAAAAGAAGTCAAACTATCTCTCTTTGATGATAATATGACTCCATACACAGAAAACCCTGAAGAATCCACCAATAGGCTCCCAGAACTTGTCAACAATTTCAGTAAAGTTTCAGGATACAAAATCAATGTACAAAACTCATTAACATTTCTATATACCAACAACATTCAAACTGGGAGGCAAATCAAGGATGCAGTTCCATTTACAATAGTCACAAAAAAAGTACCTTGGAATACATCTAACCAAGGAGGTGAAATCTCTCTACGAGAACTACAAAACACTGCTGAAAGAAATCATAGATGACAAAAACAAATGGAAAAACATTCCATGTTCATAGATTGGAATAATCAATGTAATTAAAATGACTGTAAAGCCCAAAGCAATGTATAAATTAAATGCTATTCCTATCAAACTACCAACATCATTTTTCACAGAATTAACTGTTCTAAAATTCATGTGTAATGAAAAAGGAGCCCAAATAGCCAAAGCAATTATAAGCAAAAAGAACAAATCCAGAGTCCTTACATTATCTTACTTCAAACTATATTACATGGCCACAGTAACCAAAACAGCATGGTACTTATAAAAAAAAAGCAGGCATGTAGACCAATAGAACAGAATAGAGAACCCAAAAATAAAGCTCCACACCTACAGCCTTTTGATCTTTAATAAAGTCTACAAAAATAAGCACTGAGCAAAAGACACCCTATTCAATAAATGGTACTGGAATACCCGGCTAGCCAAATGCAGATGCTTATCTTTTACTATACACAAAAATTAACTTGAGATGTGTTAAAGATTTAAATGTAAGACCCCAATCTCTAAGAATCCTGGAAGAAAACCTTCTAGGTTTTTGAGGCAGATACCTGGAAATCTGGAATAAAACCAAGCCATCTACAACAAAGTTTCTATATCCTATGGATAAATAGCTTCTGTTGTGTTAGTGGTCCCAGGTGGAGACTCTGACAAATTTAGCCAAGTTTTCACAAGTCCAGAGAGAGCCTAAGTGGATATAATTACAGGATATTTAGGTGTAGTGGAAGCAATTGATTGGTTGACCCCCAATAGTTTTAGACAGTTAAATGTGCTTCTAAAATACATATGTTATTTTTAAGAAGGTATGGACAAAAATGATATTTCAAGACTTGATTTTATTATTATAAGCTTGGAAAAGTAGCACGTTCATATTTGGAAGAAAACATAAATTACTTTCCATGAAGTAAATCAATTGTTCCAAGGACAACAGTGATTATTTTATGATAAATGAAAAAGCCAGAATGCACATTCTATTGTTCATACATCTCAAAAAACACAAGATACATACAAAAAGAAATAAAGATTAAACATTAATAGCAGTTATTAGTTGTTGCATTCTCACTGAGTTATTATTTCCTTTGTGTTATATTATCGATGCCATGTTTTCTAGGTGAATGTGTATATTTTCTCTCATGAAAAGTTCTAAAATAAATTAATGGAATAGGTTTGATGAGATACTGTCTTCAGTGGTTTAAAAGAAATTACATTATTGCAAAATGCCACACAGGTAGGTATTTAATCTAATTTCTGAGTTTGTGTTTTAAAAATAAATAGTTCAGTAAAAGTTCTCTAGGGTCTAAAACCCCAAGGTCATGAAGGCCTACATAAACCCTAGATTTTATTTCTAGGAAGAAGAATCAGCTTCAAAACCTCCCTCTCTCTCTCCCTTTTCTCCTCCTTTCCCCGATTTTTTTCTGTGTATTAAAAAAGAAATATATTCTCAGAATACTAATTTAAATTTATTGTGGACTCCTTCTATATTTATCAACTTCTTAATAATTTAAGTGATACTTGAATTCTGAGTGGAAACTTCCGTGGAGATTAGGATCTTCAGGTGAATTGGCTTCAGGTCAGTGATATATCTCGTGTTATCTTTCACTCATATGGGGCACCCTGAAATCCTGAAATCTTTGAATAGGAAACTCCGCATTAGTCTAAGTGCCAAATAAACTGAGTCTGTCTTCCCAAGGGCTCAGTTTGTTGAGTTCTGATCTCTTCTTCCTTCTCTGGGGCATACATTCTCATTTTTGCTTTCAGGGTATCTACCATGTACCTAACAAAGTACAGTCACACTGAAAATTGTAAAAAGATATTATAAAATATGAAAACCTCTCAAATTGTGGTAGAAAGAGTAATAAGCATAAAATAATAGTAAACAGAATATATCACATTTGATTTCCTGATAATAATGCCTGTAGGTATACCAAGATGTGGAAGATATTGTTAGAGTCAAATGGAACATTACTTTGTGATACTGACTTTCATCTAATGATTTATAAATTGCAAATTCTGCATCAGTGGACTAGAAAAAGAGAATGTTCCAGGTAAAAGAAAAGAAAAATAGAATAAGCCAAGGAATAAATAAGCATGTATTATTCATTATAAACTGAGAATACTGGCATGATTAAAGAAGGTTGAATACAAGGGAACAGCCAGGGTAAGGCTTTAGGTGAAATCAAGCAGTCAAATTTAAATTTGATAAATTAGGTTATAGACAGCAATTGAAGTTTTTGAAACTGAGATAGTCATAATAACCACAAGACCCAGGAATGAAACAATTTATAATCTCGCAGTGGAGGGTACCATGATCTACCAGAGAATTGATTGCAGTTTGGTAAATGTTCCACAGGCACAAACCTCAGATGAGAAACAGAGGACCAGAAAGCATCAGATAATTGTGAAAAAACAAAGGGAAAGACAGCAGATTTACAGAAGGAGAGTTATGAATGAATTAGGACGAAGAGGGAGAGGCCAAAGGAAATCCAGGAAGAAGAGCTGAACTAAATTTTGACGCCCTTAATTGTAATTACATGTCTAGTGTTGCTTACTTCAGCCTTTGATCTGTTTCTCAGATGTTTTATAATGACATAAGGATTGACAAATAATACCAACTTGTCATACAACTAAATAATTAAAAGGAGTGATGATGGGGAAGCCTACATTTTCTGGACTTTATAATTGTCAGACCTTGAATTGAGTTCATTAGCATCATTTCCTCGTTTAATACTTACACGTGTATAAAATCTGTGTTATCTGGTCATTGCTATTCTCATTTTACTGCTAAGGAAGCTGAAGCTCAGAAAATTTGAATAATCTATGAAAGATCACAGAGCAAATGACAAAGTCTGAAGTTGAAATTAAGTCTGTGTTGTCAAAGCCCATGCTTTTTTCTCTATGCTGATCCTTCATGAGCTGTTTGTCATTCTCCTGTTCTTTTCCTCATGATGAACGTGCATCTTTTCGTGTGTGTCAGAAACTGAATTTATCTATGAAAGAGATAACAGTATCTTCCTACTTTGAGGTGGTCAGATGAAACTAAAATGGTATCTCCCCTTATAGAATTTATACAAATAATTTTGTGTTAACGTGAACACTTTGGAGATGTGTTTGTTACTGGCTCAACTGATTTTTAAAATCTTCATTAAATTAAAGCGATTTTTGTGATTATGAACTACTTATAATTCCAGATGTCTGTGCTTTCTCAAAATAATATTTCCAAATATAACAAAGATTGCATGACTCAAAACAAGATAATCGCATATGTACCTTTAAGGTTCAAATGACCCTTATTTTATCAAAAGCCTCTTCAATATCTAGAGTGGCAATGTTCTTGTCACCAGAAATTTTGAGAGTGAGTATGTAACCACTGGTGATTTTTACCACATTTCTCTATCTTACTCTAAATAACAAGAAAGGCTTCGACAAAACACATTTTATGTTACTCTTGAATTCAGAGATTCAATGAGTATTTAATAATATATATATTAGTAAAGCTACCAGATTAAAAAATAATAAAAAAATTAAAACATAATGAACAAGGGATCTAGATGAATATTAAGAGCATCTGTAACACTAAGTGATAAAGCACTTATGAAGGAAAGAAAATAAAAAAAGGAATGTGTCAAAAATTTACCTCTATCATTTTACTAGGTTGCTACATTATTTTAGAAAACTAATGCAATTATTGTAGCATAAAGATGGAATCAACAGAAAGGTTGAAGATACGCAAAATTATGTTTCCTTCAACATCCAAATATATTTTAAAACTAGAAAATTACCGTGGTTACTCATAAAAGCTGTCATTCCTATAATCCTCAGACTGAGCATCTGCCACGTAGCTATGTCAATATTGTCTCCTCCAGTGCTTCACCTTTACAGATCCTTTGTCATTTTTACTGCTAAATTTATATGAATTGTTAAATTAGTGCTGTTGAGAGATGGGTGAATCATTTGAGGTCAGGAGTTTGAGACCATCTTGGCCAACATGGTGAAAGCCCGCCTCTACTCAAAATACAAAAATTAGTGGGGCGTGGTGGCAGGCACCTGTAGTCCCAGCTACTCAGGAGGCTGAGGCAGGAGAATCGCTTGAACCCAGGAGGCGGAGGTTGCAGTGAGCAGAGATCACACCACTGCACTCCATCCTGGATGACACAGCGAGACTCCATCTCAAAAAAAAAAAAAAATGCTATTGAAAAGCACAGACCTTCAGAATGCTGGAACTGTGAAAAACACATTTTTAAGAATACTATAAGAGATTTTTCTATCTAAGAGAAAACTACAGTAATACCCCCTTATCTGTGTTTCTTCTTTCCATGTTTCAGTTGTGGTCAACTGCCATGTGAAAACCTTAAATGGAAAATTCTAGAAATAAAAAATTCATAAGTTTTAAATTGTGTGCTCTTCTGAGTAGCAGGATGAATTCTTACACTATTCCATTCCATCCTGCCTGAACATGAATCATCCCTTTGTCCAGAATTCCCATGCTACAGATGCTACCCTCTTTCTTAGGAGCTGTCCCTTTCATCATTTATAACAAAGAAGAAGAAGAAAAAAAGTAGATCAACTGTTGCAGCATCATCACAATGCTTGTGTTCAAATGACCCTTATTTTATTAAATCATGTCTCCAAAGTGCAAAAGTAATTATGTTAGCATATTGTGGTAATTATTTTCTTTTATTAGTTTATTGTTAATCTTGTACTGTGTCTAATTTTCAAATTAAACTTTTTCATGGGTATGTATGTATAGGGAAAAATCATAGTATATATGGCAGTCGGTACTATTCGTGGCTTCAGGCATTTACTAGGAGTCTTGAAATGTATCACTTGTGACTAAGGAGGGATAACTGCACTATACTGCAGCTTCTGCCGTTCAGGGTCAACTTCAAAATCCAGCTCATCACTAACAAGCTGTCTAACCACATACAAGCTCCTAATTCATATATGCTTCAGTTTCCTTGTACAAAAAATAAATGGGGCTACTCATTTTAAAATTCATTATGTTATTTAAAAATCTAAATTAATATTTTAATGTTTCAGCACAAAGTCTGACACATGGGTAAATGTTACATGTGTAGGAGATGATAATCACTTTTATTATTATCATTTCAGATTTTCTCTAACAACAACCATGTCATTAGCTGAAGGAAATCAGAGTTCTGGAGCCGTATTTACCCTCTTGGGCTTCTCAGAATATGCAGACCTCCAGGTTCCTCTGTTCCTGGTCTTCCTGACCATCTACACAATCACTGTATTGGGAAACCTGGGCATGATCATGATCATCAGGATCAACCCCAAACTCCACACCCGCATGTACTTTTTCCTCAGCCACTTGTCCTTTGTTGATTTCTGTTATTCCACCACAGTTACACCCAAACTGCTGGAGAACTTGGTTGTGGAAGACAGAACCATCTCCTTCACAGGATGCATCATGCAATTCTTCCTGGCGTGTATATGTGCAGTGGCAGAAACATTCATGCTGGCAGTGATGGCCTATGATTGATACGTGGCGGTGTGTAACCCTTTGCTCTACACAGTTGTCAGGTCCCAGAAACTCTGTGCATCATTAGTGGCAGGGCCCTACACATGGGGTATAATCTCTTCTCTGACACTCACCTATTTCCTCTTGTCATTATCCTTCTGTGGGTCTAACATCATCAATAATTTTGTCTGTGAGCACTCTGTCATCATCTCTGTCTCCTGCTCTGACCCCTACATCAGCCAAATGCTTTGTTTTGTCATTGCAATATTCAATGAGGTGAGCAGCTTGGGAGTCATCCTCACTACCTATATTTTCATCTTTATTGCTGTCATAAAAATGCCTTCTGCTGTTGGGCACCAAAAAGCTTTCTCTACCTGTGCTTCCCACCTGACTGCCATCACTATTTTCCACGGGACTGTCCTGTTCCTTTATTGTGTACCCAACTCCAAAAACTCATGGCTCATAGTCAAAGTAGGTTCTGTGTTTTATACAGTCATCATCCCCACATTGAACCCTTTAACCTACAGCCTCAGGAACAAAGACGTGAAAGAGAGTGTTCGAAAGTTAATGAATCACTCAATACAATTTTGTTAAAGACTTATGTTCCCAAAACGAATTCAATGTATTATATTGAGGTTTGCTCGATGCTTTTAGTAAAGAATAATTTGCATTATTTAGTCAATTCGCCAGTCAGATTTTTAAATCTATTTTAAGAAGCCAGTTACGTGATCATTTGATTTTTATTCACTTCTGTTTTTAGCTAAATAGTTGTGAACCATATGGGCTATAACAAGTGCTGTGAGTTGAATGTTGTCTCCCAAGCTATTTAAGTTCACCCAGAACCTCAGAAGTAATCTTTTTTGGAAATAGGATCATTGTTAATATAATGAGGCTAAGCGGATTAAAGTGGGAACTAAATCCAAGAACATCCAATGAGGGTGTTCTTATAAGAGATAATAAAGGACAACAGGAAGACACACAGGGAGGAAAGTCATGTGCAGACAGAGGGAAATGGTGTTTTGCTGCCACAAGCCGTGGAGCAAGGAAAGTTTCTCCTCCACTGCCTTCAGAGGCAGCAGAGTCCTGCCAGCACCTTGATTCAGACTTCTGGTCTTGAGAACCATGAGAAAATAAATTTTAGTTGTTTTAAGCTGCCAATTTTTTGATAATGTTTTTTGTGGTAGCCTTAAGAAATTTATATAACAAGTAGATATTAGATCATAAAACCTAAATTTCTTGTTTTATCTTTTGGCATGGTAAATAAATTTTCAAAAAACAATTCTTCAATTCCAGTTTAGCAATGAGAATGTCAGGGTTACAGGGCAGATCTAAAAAGCTGAATAGGAGTGTGCATTTGTAAGAATAAGTAATGACAAGCTGGGACACGGTCTCTAAGATCCTACTGAATTCTTGTTCTTTTCTCCCTCACATCCTCCAGTGCTTTTGTAGGCAGTGATATTAAATATGATGACTCTGAATATCAAGTAAAAATCTTGATTTTATGTGAAGTTCCTGAAAGATGACCAAGAGGATAAAAATTTTAAACATTGTTAATCTCACAAATTTATGTGTTAAACTTCATTCTTTAAATTCTATTTACTAAGAGTTGATATCATGATAAATTTCAGAAATAAGTAATATAATCTCTGTTTTGCTTTTTAAGACAAAATGTTATCTCTGTTTATCTCTTGCTAATCATGGTTTGTGTTACATAAGTTTCCCCAGGACAAGGACTGTGTCAGCCTGGTATTGTTCCTTCATATCACCTTAGTGATTAAATATTAATTGTTAACCCAGAGTTACCACGTTCACATCAAATAAAGCTTTCAACTCCACCTTATACTATAAAATATACCACCAAACCTTCTCCTGTATATGTGAGTGAATAGACAACTATAAAACATAAAATAAACCTTTTTTATTTTTAATTTTTCTAAGCTGAGCACCATGGATCAGAGATAACTTCACTATAATTCTGAGCAATTACTAATATATTGTATTACACATTTTCCAGATAATGTGACCCAAAGTTTGTTAACCCTGGGAAATAAAATGAAAACTTTCAGTTTTAATTTCACCTTGGATTGGGTGGTTTTCTTGGTGTGTGTATACGATGTTGTGTTATTAAAGGATGCAAAATAGTACTCTCTCTTTCAACACACATATGACAAATTAAGCATTATCAATAATTATCCTTCAGAGTAAATGTGTTTCTTACATACTTGCTGCTATATTGTCTTGTATATGGAGACAGGATAAATTGTCTTTGATCCTGAGTTTGTGAATAGAAGAAAAAAGAAGGAGACAAAGAACAATACAAAAAACTGAGTAAAAAGTGAATGTTTATTTATGTACTTTTAATTCATTATGATATCTTGCTACATCACCAGAATTTCCATCATATCAAGGGTAATCAAAGTTAGTGATTTTCAGACCTTCATATACATGCAAATCACCTGGGAGGGTTGTTTGTAAAATGTCCATTCTGGTACAGGAGATTCTGCATTTCTAGCAAACTTTCAAGTGATCCTGGTGTTACTGGCCCTTAGATCCTCTCTGAATATCAAGGATATAAGCAAACATATATATATATATACACATATATATATATATAATTTTCAGTAATTTTTTGTGGTGGCCTTAAGAAATTTATATAACAAGTAAATATCAGATCATAAAATATATATGCTGTTAAACATAAAACATATATATTGTTAGACATATATATATGTCTAAACAACACTCATGTCTAATTGTGTGTAGAGTCACTAGAGGCAATTTAAAATAAGTTTTTATTTTTCTTTTTTTCTATTGGCAATAACATGATTTTAGTGATAAATTTTAATAATTATGAAAACATAACAGTACTTTTTAAAACATAAACATTTAAAGAAAAAGTTTTCATGATTCTTGTATACATCTTAACATACATACTCTCCCTTTAAAGTAAGTTCTTTGCATTGTTTAAATCTTTGCAGACAAAGCTTTTCAAGAGCAAGTCAGTGGAAACTAGTAGAGCAGGAGTTGAGAAAGCCCTGTGCATTATACACTCACCATGTCCCAGAAGTTTTGCTCCATCCATCCAGCAGGATGTTAGACCAGGGCATATAATCTATCCCCGGTCACTCATTTTCTCATTGTATTGCCTATTGTGGGCACAATGTAGTTAATATATTTTAAAATAAATATTCTGTTGCCATTTCAGATTCGTGAGTTCATCTGGATAGCGGATTTTTGTTTGTTTGTTTGTTTTGCTTTAGTCAATTTTGATTAATTAAGGAATCTCAGAGTCCTCACTCCTTAGCTTTCATTTTCAACTTGTCTAAAAGGCACTTTCTGCCAGTGCACATCAACCTTCTCCACCCATTTCCCACATTTCCACCATCCTTCCTCACTCTAGTGCACTAACTCCAAAAACTCACAGGCAACTGTGAAAGCACACTCTGTATGTTATGCCATGTTAATCCCCATGCTGAACTCACAGACTTGTAGCATGCGGTACAAAAATGTGAATGAATCTCTGCAGAAGCTGATGGACTTCAAAATATTTTAGCATTGAAAGCAATTTTAATAAGTATAGTTCAATGAAAGTATGTATGTTTCTATTCAAATATCACCTTCTCACAGAATCCATAGTTGACAACCTAATATAATGTGATGGTTGCCCCTATCCCCTTAACCTGATTAATGTTCTTTCATAGCTGTAGGTGATATTTTAAATTCATGTAATAATTTATTTGTTTGTTATTTGTTTCTCCCAGTAGAAGACAAGTTCCAAGATGGCTGAAATTTCTGTTTTATTTTTTCTTCAATCTCCAATGCTTAGAAAAGTAACTTAGAAATTCAGCCTTCAATGTACTGGATGAATTACAGAGGGAAAGAAAGAAAAAATTCAGACTAAATTGATAATATTTAGCATTATGCCTTATTTACCTAGGTAAGACTTCTGGTGATGTCTCCTCAACGAATATGGCTCCCATCTCATTTTTTAAAAGCCAAAGAACAGGTGTAAGGTAATCAAAGATGACCACGTTTCTTTATATGAATGCTTGTGCTGCTAATTATTGTACTGTTGGAAACTTTCTTTTTCTAATTTTAAGTATTTAGTTTAAGCTGGATACTCTATAACTTTTTGACCATTTTACATTTGCCAGCACCACAAAAACAGTGCTTCCATTATCAACAATATATCTCATAATTAGGTTTGGGATTAATTTTTTTAAATTGTTAGGTTCAATTTAGAGATCTTTTCCTTCAAACTTAATTTAGATTATAGAAAACATGAAAAGTCTCTTCAATATTGTAATTAACATTTCAGAAAATTTTGGTTCATTTGATTAACCTAGTCACAGAAATGCAAACAGGTAGTATTCTGGATTTAATTATCAATAATATCTCTGGATTAGACAGATTCTGGTTTATCATGATGGAAGAAAGTTATTTGCAGCTTGTATTAAGTTTCAGAATACTTGTGGATAATTTTACATACATCAGCAAAACTGCTTTTAGACATTGGCCTAGTAATATTTTTTGTTAATTGGAAATATTAAAATAATACATTGCTACCAGCATTGCTAAAGTGTACTTCAATTTTTTAGGGTTCCGTAATAATTTTGCAAAATTCACAGGAAAAGGGATCTAAGAAATGTAAAAACTTTGCAAAACACCAGTGAAAATATCTCTGTAAGCAATGTATTCTTGCCTTCTATATTAATGATTCCATAAAGAATTCTTATAAGATTTGGCTTCTTTTAAGGCTATAAAGGAAAATATCTTTATGATATCAGAGTAGGCTAACATTTTGAAGATTTAGAAAGCAAAATAAATGGGACTACATTAAAATTAAAATGTATTCCATTAGCACATGGAAAAAAATCTGAGAATGAGAGAAAAATTTTGAAATATATTTAATTGACAAGAGATTAATATCCATAATATAAAGATATCTATACAAACTAATTTAAAAAATAAATATAATGGTGCTAAAATTGGAAAAAGAACAAACCATTTTCAGTTTATCCTTGTATATCATACAATAATATTTTCTTGTAACCTATGACATGAAAAATTATGCCAAATAACTGCTCTGAAGAAACTCAAGCTCATTCACGTCAGAAGAGATGTTCAACAATGTTCAGTTTCATATTGCTTACAATAACAAAAAAAATGGAAACAGCCTTAATAGATATAAAATAAATGAGCAAGATGTGTTATGGTCATACAATCTGATTCCACTAGTACAGAAATCAAGTCGTAATGGTTTCATTACACAAGATTCCACTACACACAGAGGGACTTATTGTGAATTTTGTGTCCTATTTGTTTTAACTCACGCATACACTTACATATACAGAACACACTTTTGACCAAATGTTTTCTGATGAAAATATAATCACATCAGTTGACATATTGGGTATGAAAACATTATTTCTTCATCCAAATTTGGAAAATTATATCTTACCTTTCTATATTTTGGCAATGATAAGAAATAATTCCAGGAAAGAAGCAGGTATTATACCATTTATATGTAATGAAGTTTAGAATTAGAAGTTTATTTACATAATTTTTGAATTCTGCCTTATGTCTATTTCTGTCTTTTTACATGCATATATGTATAAACATATATTTGTGTGTATATATATATATAAACATACATATACATACATGCATGTATAGATGATCATGTATATATATGCATGTATATATATTTGGTTGCCCACTGTGATTGACGCATCTGAAATCAGCTACATGCTCAGCTCTGAACATGTGGGCCTAGTTCTACAGGAATAATGGATATTGCAACTAACTTTGTAAGCAAATCAATCCATGGAAATTGTTAACTCAGAACATACTTAAATTGCTTTTTGCCAAGGAAAACACACTCTAGCACTTAGTGGCTGAAGGCAGTTTGATATTTCTCACCATTCTCTGGACTTACTGGGTGGTTCTTCTTCCAGTCTCACTGGGGCTCACTCACGTTGCTGAACTTACTTGGGGATTCTGATGGAGCTAACGCTTCCAAGATAGCATCACTCACTTGTTACCTGACTTGGTGCTGGCCATTGGTTGTGGTGTCTCAGTATTTTCCCAAGGAGTTTCTCATCTGCTTGTAGGGTACAATGGTTTTATTATGTGGTGTTCTCAGAGCAGCATTTGAAGAGAATGAAAGAAACTGCAATGCCTTTTGATGCCTCAACTCAGAATGCTCACGTCACTCCTGCAATATTTTCTTGGTCAAACAAGTCACAATTCCAATTTAATGAATCAATCACTGTGTTCTCTAGTGGAAGCATGACACACTTGGGAGATAAAACCTCTAAACCCTTAGAGCTCATGGTTTCTCTTATGGGAAAGTTCTAGGTCTCACAAATTATTGGAGGAACAGCAATGTATGTTGGTTGCAGATTTCAAGCATATAATATATTCAGGAGGCTATTACTCCATCCTTCTAAGGTATTGCCAAAGAACCTGCCCTGTAACTAAGTTTCAAAAGGTGTTCCTCATGTTCCAAGCATACTTTTTGAATTTGTAAATACTAGAATATTTGTCTTTAACTGTTGCTTTTCAGGGCCACCTTAAGGTAGGATTACAGTCCTGCAGTTATTCACTTTTGTGTGGGCCAGCATATCATGGGGAATCATCTGAAAATGAGGCTCCTATGCTTTCTTCCACATTCAGGTTGCCATAGGGAATGCCCCATGAGACACAAATTCAGGCTGAGCAAGAAGAAGCAATACAGCAAGGTATGGGCCACGGACATCTGTAGCACTTGATTATGAAATTTACTTGTGTTTTCAGGAATAGGAGTGCTATTGGCTGCTGCATATTTATACCCAGGATGCATGCAGGATAGATTATATCTCACTAAGAGGTGCACTGAATTTTGGAACAGATGAGGCAAGTATTTAAAGTTTTATTGTAATTTGAATTACATGCAAGCAAAGCTTGATAGTTAACTTCATGCTGCATTTTTTTTTCTGAGTAGTTTCAAGGAAATTCCAGTCACTAAATGTGACACAAGAGACTTGGTATTTGCCTTAATTGCCTGTTTTGATGCTTGTAAAGAGTAAGTTGTTAGTGATTCTCCAGAGTTTGAGTCCCTAGGGCTATGAAGTTAAATGAAAGAGTCTTGGTGCCTCAGGTATACACTGTCTGAAGAGACAGGAGGGTGGCAGCCTGTTTCTTTGTATGTAGCAGGTAAGTGTATTCAGGCTTTCTATGAAACTGAAAATAGGGTCTTCCTGATACGGCAAATGGGGCCTTTGATTTTTTAAATGTTAAATCACTGTGTTATTCAATTCTGTGCCCAATAATATTAAAAAATGAGGTCAACACTCATGAAAATATTTAGCCTTATATCCATTGAAAATTATCTCATGATGAATAGTATAAACTTGCTACTTGGAAATGGATATTTATCCATATTTCCTTTATATTCATCTTAAATTAGTGTGTAAATTTTTATAAGATTGAAAACTAGTCAGGCTTAAGGGAACTTTCACCTGATAAATCTTGAGACTCTTATAAGATACTTATGCAATACCTGAGCTATAGTAGATGCTGACCCTTAAGTCATAAACCCCAATAAAATGCCCATTCCACCAAGAGGTCAAAAGTAGGCCATTGTCCTTGTCAACTCCTCAGCAACTAAGATATTCAATGAGAGAAGTAGCCTTTCTAGAATAAAAGTTGGTAAAAAGTGGAATTAGTGTGCTCTTTTTCCAGATTTCTACAATATTTTCCTTTATCCTTAGAATAGAAATATATTCTGAATATTTTAATCAATTTGTCTATATAAACAAATACAGTAGCAATGCATGTTGTTGTTTGATGTAAATATTTTACATTTTCCACAGAATCTTTATTAGTTTATATATTTATGTATAAACATTTTCTATAAGTTATGTGCATGTCATGCTACTAGTTAATGTGTAGACATGTATACTACTGTACACATATACACACACATACACATACACATATATATTCACACATATATATATGTATGAAAACAGAAAGTGTAATAAAAATGGAAAGACACTCCAAAGACTTGGCTTGGTTTGTTTTAGACATAACAGCTGCCTGCATGAGGTATGTTCTTCTTGGACAAAACTAGGACCAGTAACTATTCCTTCTCCTTTTTTCCTTTTAATCAAAGAAAGTCATGACATAATTATCACTCACCCCATATTTTGCTTTGGCAGGAACAATTCTCTTCAACCCTTCCATTAAAAGGAATTATGATGATGGTTTTAAGGAATCTGAGCATGGAGCCCACCTTTGCCCTTTTAGGTTTCACAGATTACCCAAAGCTTCAGATTCCTCTCTTCCTTGTGTTTCTGCTCATGTATGTTATCACAGTGGTAGGAAACCTTGGGATGATCATAATAATCAAGATTAACCCCAAATTTCACACTCCTATGTACTTTTTCCTTAGTCACCTCTCTTTTGTTGATTTTTGTTACTCTTCCATTGTCACTCCCAAGCTGCTTGAGAACTTGGTAATGGCAGATAAAAGCATCTTCTACTTTAGCTGCATGATGCAGTACTTCCTGTCCTGCACTGCTGTGGTGACAGAGTCTTTCTTGCTGGCAGTGATGGCCTATGACCGCTTTGTGGCCATCTGCAATCCTCTGCTTTATACAGTGGCCATGTCACAGAGGCTCTGTGCCCTGCTGGTGGCTGGGTCATATCTCTGGGGCATGTTTGGCCCCTTGGTACTCCTTTGTTATGCTCTCCGGTTAAACTTCTCTGGACCTAATGTAATCAACCACTTCTTTTGTGAGTATACTGCTCTCATCTCTGTGTCTGGCTCTGATATACTCATCCCCCACCTGCTGCTTTTCAGCTTCGCCACCTTCAATGAGATGTGTACACTACTGATCATCCTCACTTCCTATGTTTTCATTTTTGTGACTGTACTAAAAATCCGTTCTGTTAGTGGGCGCCACAAAGCCTTCTCCACCTGGGCCTCCCACCTGACTTCTATCACCATCTTCCATGGGACCATCCTTTTCCTTTACTGTGTACCCAACTCCAAAAACTCTCGGCAAACAGTCAAAGTGGCCTCTGTATTTTACACAGTTGTCAACCCCATGCTGAACCCTCTGATCTACAGCCTAAGGAATAAAGACGTGAAGGATGCTTTCTGGAAGTTAATACATACACAAGTTCCATTTCACTGAACCAGTCTCAAAAGTTGTTTTCAATCCAAATGAACAACCCAAACAGAGGCTACAATGTTTCTAAAGCCTAGAGCATATATTTATATGAGGTTTTTATGGAATTGTCAAATGTGAATTGATATAGCATTCCCAGTATTATCAGGTTCAGAAATCTCTACAAGTTTAGTCCAGTTTATACAAAATGAATGAAAATAAACATTTAATCTGAAAACAATGAGAAACCATATTTCAAAATTATTTCTAACTTTTATATGAATGACTAAATAAACACAAATATTTGGTAACAAATACTATACAAATTCAAGCAACATTCTCCAAATTTTCTCTAAAAAGAAACCTTTCCCCTAGGAACAAAACTAGGGCTTCTTGGAGAAATGGCTAATTTGAAGTCTAGGGTGGAAAATAGGCAAGATGAGCTTTGGGCAATTTAATGCTCCAGAAAGATAGAATACTATCAGCAGCTAATCAGATTGTCTCAAAGAGATATAGGAAGCAATTTGAAATGGCTGATGCTGGTTTATGGTCAGAAAAAACTTTTTAAACATAAAAATGGATATTGATTACAATTGATTTAAAGTCCTCATATAGATTTAAATCTAGGTACTGAAAAAGAAAAAAATAAATAAGCCATTGTTTAATATCAATGGATATTAGGGCACCAATTCATTACTCTGAAAATAAGTAATTAAATAATATATATATTTATTCTATTTTTCCTATATGAATAGTATGTCAGCATCACCTACTGATTAATGAGGTGAATTTCAGAAGAAATAAAAGCATAAACAAGGATGAAATTGGACAATCACAACTGTAGAACTCCACATTTAAAAAATGAATAAAGGTAATGATTTCAACAGACATAATAATCATTAGGCAAAAAGTTTGTGGATAATTTTAAGATGAAGTAACTAAGTTGACACAACCTGAATTCAGAGATCAGAATGATCATCACTAAAAGTTGGACAAACAGTTATCATCAACCAGTTACCATGTGCTTCTCAATGGACTGCAATGTACAGTAGTCAGAATCATCTATGAAGAATTTTTGCTTTTTTTTTTTTTTTGAGACAGTCTCACTCTGTTGCCAGGCTGGAGTGCAGTGGCAAGATCTCAGCTCACAGCAACCTCCACCTCCTGCGTTCAAGAGATTCTCCTGTCTCAGCCTCCTGAGTAGCTGGGACTACAGGTGTGCACCACCATGCCTGGCTAATTTTTGTATATTTAGTGGAGACGGGGTTTCACCATGTTGGCCAGGATGGTCTTGATCTCCTGACCTCGTCATCTGCCCCCCTTGGCCTCCCAAACTGCTGAGATTACAGGCGTGAGCCACCACACCCAGCCAGAATTTTTGCTTTGTTAAAAAAAAGTAAAAGAAGGAAACTAAGCTAATAAATATTCTTGGTCTCAGCATTAGTTAAAAAGAATTAGTACAGAAATAAATAAAATGACACAAAATAAAGCACTAAGCAAAATACAGAGAGTGCTGAATTATTATTTTCCCTTGCAAAATATTACCTAACATGTGGGTATACACACACACACACACACACACACACACAGGCTCTCACACAAAGAATGGTTATATAACAAAGTAAACTGGCTATAACAACCACAACTATTTGACTCTTGATCCAAACTAACTGGAAAAGTATGTCGTTGAGACAATTGGGGTAATTTAAACACAGATTGGGCATTTAATAGTATTAAAAATATAACAGTGATTTTGTTAGGTGAAGTTTTGGCATGCGTGCTTGGTTCAAATATTAAAAACAATCGAGGAATTAAAAACTACCTATCGGGTATTATGCTTTTTAGCTGGGTGACAAAATAATCTATATACCAAATTCCTGTGACACCAATTTGTCTTTAAAACAAACTTGCACGTGTACCCCTGAACGCAAAATAAATGTTAAAAAATCAAAACACTCTAATCAGAAGTTGATTGTTTGGCCTTTTTGCCTCCATTTTACTTCAGTATCACCATGCTCTGGAAGCACTGATGGTTCACCAGAGAGGAACCTGCAGCATCATTGGACAAAAATGCCGCTTCCAGGTGTTCAAACCAGAGGTCCAGAGATCCAGTAGATTTTCTGCTTGGTCAGGGACAGAGCTGGTTATCAAGTGGGATGTAAGTGGGTAGAGCAGTGGGACTTACAGTGGGAGCTGATTTCAACTTTTCCTCTAGGTCTGCTGTTTGTTATTTAATTTTGTTAAGATAAATTTTAAGACTAGTTTTATACTTTGCTGAGTTATTCCTTCTATCTGATCTTTTCATAAGTACCAATATCCAAATTGTTTAGAATGAGAGTTCTCTAATATTTTTTAATACAGAAGTTTTTCTAATTCAAATATTTGCCTTTTTTCCATTGATAATTAGGATCTTCACTGGTGTGTATAGTCCAATGGTGACTTAATCCAACAAGCTTTTTTATGGAAAGACCAAGAGGTAACTTCCTAGGTTTAGAATAAACCTTTACTAGGGATAAAAGGGGTCTTTCTGGAGTGAGTGCAGAAAGTGCAGCCTCCATGTTCCAAAAATTCACTCACAGATCTCTAGTCTCTCACTGAATGTGAGACACCTTCAATATAGGTCTGATAATCTGTGACACTGGGGCAGGCAACACTGAGATGGGAGTTTTGAGCACAAATCCAGGGAACAATGTTGAGATGACAAACACCGTGAGAGGTTGGCATGTTTGGACAAAGACAGTGCTGCTTAAAATCATGTGCCTCCATTCCTCAATCTTTTCAGACTGACTTGTACCTGTGTGCGCTACCTTATGGTCCCTCTCCTTAGGACAAATGACACAAAAAGACAAAGATAAAGGAAGACAATTTCTGAGATCAAAAGGATCAAGTAGAAATCAAGAGTATTCACAAGAACACCAAAAGTCACTTTTTACTGAAACAACTAGTTCACAAATGTTTTCTCCTGCCAATTCCAATTTAGAGAGGGAAAAAGACAGAGTCTTACCACTCTCCTCTCAAACAGCCCCTACAACAGAGATCCAGGAAGCTGACAGATAGAAATCTGACCTCTGAAGTCCTTTTGTCAGAGGTCCAGGATCTCAGCTGCAGCAGTTCTGGAGAGAGCAATGTTCCAACCAGTAAAGGATGGCCCCAAGTTGGGGCCAATTTCTGTAGGGGATACAGAGATCACCCTGAACCCCTCTTAGCTCTTAGTGGGCTCTTCAACTAGAAACCAAATTGAAAACAGGTTAATTTTGCAAAGCTCAATATCACTGTTAAATAGAGAAATGCAAATCAAAACCACAACGAGATGCCACCTAACACCAGTCAGGATAGTTACTATTAACAAGTCAAAAAATAACAGATGCTGGCCAGGTTATGGAGAAAAAGGAAGGTTATACACTATTGGTGGGAGTGTAAATTATTTCAGCCACTGTGGAAGACAGGGTGGCGATTCCTCAAAGACCTAAAGACAAAAATACCATTTGACCCATCAATTCCATTACTGGGTATTGGCCCAGAGGAATACGAATCATTCTATTATAAAGACACATGCATGCATATGTTCATTGCAGCACTATTCACCATAGCACAGACATAGAATCAACCTAAATGCGTAGCAAAGATAGAGTGCATAAACAAAATATGGTACATATGCACCATAGAATACTATGCAGTCATAAAAAAGAATGAGATCATGGTCTTTACAGGGACATACATGCAGGTGGAGGTCATTCTTTTCAGCAAACTAAGACAGGAATAGAAAACCAGATACCACATGCTCTCACTTATAACTTGGAACTAAATGATGAGAATACATGGAGACATAGAGGGAAACAGCACACACTGCAGCCCTTGCAGGGTGAAGGTTGGGAAGAGGGAGAGGAGCAGGAAAAACAACGAATGGGTTAATGCCTTGGTGATGAAATAATCTGTTAATGCCTAGGCTTAATGCCTGGGTGATGAAATAATCTGTTAATGCCTAGGCTTAACGCCTGGTTGATGAAATAATCTGTACAACCAGCCCCCATGAGGCAAGTGTACCTATGGAACAAACCTGCACTCATACCTTTGAAACCTACAATAAAAAAATTAATGATTATACAAATTTTATAGTTTCTCATATACCTGGGGATCTTCACATGTCAGTGATGTCTGAAAAATAACCTAAACAAGATACTTTTATACTTTGTAGACAAAGAACAATCAATTTTAGAAGAATGACAGGACAAAGAAAATCTGGCTAAGAGAGTGAAGTTTTCTAGGGGAATCACTATGACATAGATGAGGTGGCTGTAAACCATGTGGAAGATAAGGATTTTTCATTAGGTATGTTTATTCAGGTCCCTTGTAGTCTCTAAGTTCAAGTCCATGGTCATAAGGGCCACATTCTAGCCCTGGGATGAGAGGATGCCTATCCCAGAGGAAACTTCATCACTGGCTGCATGCAGGAAGAGACAGATCAGTTCATCCTTTCTGAAACTGTAAGTTCTTCAATGTTTTTCACTCAAAATAATCAATATACCAATCTGGCATATTTTGGGGTGACATATCTTTCACTCCATTAAAAGATGACAATAGCATATATTTATATTAAAACATCGCATTTTCTAAAAACTTCCAGTGTGTGTGTGTGTGTGTGTGTGTGTGTGTGTGTGTGTGTGATCTTCTCTCTGTGCTCTGATTTCCCAAAGCATTGGTAGGTTTGGCTCTATTCTCAGTTATATAGAAGGGAATATTTATCATTCAATACCTATTCCTGGTACATACACTTTGAGCTAATTACTGATGTGGGAGCTTGGAACATATCAGTGAAGAAAAAATGAAAAATCCCTGCTTTCCTGGAACTTTTGTTCTAGTAGGAAGAAACAAAAAACAAATAGTAAAGTCTCACTTAACATCATCAATAGGTTCTTGGAAAGTGTAACTTTAAGGAAACAATGTATAGTTTGTCCTCAAATAATGTCATTTTGTTCGACCATTGATGAAAAAAAATAGTTTCATTGTATATCTTTTCACTTAAAGTCACAATTTCCAAAAACCTACTGAGGATGTTAAGTGAGGATGTACTATAATATAAATGCAATATGTAAAGATTAAAAATATGTTTTAACCATGTTAAGTATTTTAAACAATAAAGTTTGGCAGTAAGGGAACTCTCAGATTATAATAGTGTGTTCACAGAAGGCTTATCTAAAAACTTTACATTTGACCAAAACCTAAGGAAAAGAATTCCAAGCAGAGGAGACACTAGTCAGAATAGGTGGAGAAGACAGCAGGGAAAAGAACTAAAGAATAAGACAGAGATTTAACAGGGACTATATCATTTATCCAATTCAATGTTTGCTTTGTAAATATTTCTGTTTTAACTATAAATAAGTCAGGACAACCTGAAAGCTAGACCTTCATATTTTTCAATATGGTCCCAGTGTGCAGTATTGAAGAAAAGGATAATGTAAGGCAAATAGTAGTCACTCAATCAGTATTTGATAACAATTATCTTAAAATTACACATATTCTTATAATTATAGAAATATATGGGAGTTATCAGAGGGCTGAGGAAGATGACTTTTAAATATAAATTTTTTTATATGCAGTGCTCCTAATGCTCTTATAATTTTTTGCAGGTTTTGTAGTATATTGCAATTACATCAGATAATTGTGATTAATTTTAATTGTCTTTTTGTGACCTCAGGAGACTGGGACAATAGGTAGTCTCTAGGGTTCATGTCTCCTAGGTGTAACTGTAGATATAAGAATGCATGTATCACTCTCAGCCTGGAAACATCCTACCTTTGCCATCAATAGGTTTGCATTGAGATTCTAAAGACAGATTGATATTAATTTCAATCCATAAAAAAATCTAGGAGGAGCAAAATGCACCCTTAGAACTAAACAGTTCTTGAAAACTATGCGTGAATATGCAAGAAACAGGAAGTACTCTCTTTCCACACAACTTTGTATCAGAAGGCCTGGCTCCTGAACAACAGCCTCATGTAAAACTGGTACCTGGGATGGGGAAATAGAAGAACTTTGAGAATATTAGGAATGTGTATTTCCTTGCTTCTGTTAAGTTTTGGAGGAAATTTCAAGACAGAATAGACAAGTAGTTATGTAAATTGAAATAAATAGAAATGAAACAGACTCTCTAGTGAAAAAAACAAGGGAAGGGATCTGCTTTAATTAAGATTGTATAACAGGAAATGCATGTCACCCCTAAGAGCAAAAATAACAGCTAAATTTGAAGGGGTGGGGGGAATTGACAGAAAAGGAGATTTCATCTGCCATATTTCCTGGAATCAAATATCTAAACTTTTAATAACTATTCAATAGTTGCATTTGTGACACAAAACTCATTATGTAAAATATAACATTAGTTTAAAATAAAATTTTAAATGCTTTAGAGGAGTGAAATGCAGTATTGGGAAAAATGTCCTAATTAGATTTTCTGGGTTTGTGATGGACTGTCTTTTGAGATTGTCTTTAATACTCAAATTCACTAGTATAGGAAAAGAGGGCCATTGAGTAACTTGGTCTTGCATGTAACTGGAAATCTTTCTTGATGGGCCGTCTAAAACTTTCTTGGGTGTTGTGAATAGAGATAATGTCTTTGATGATAGAGAAAGCAAATACAGATATGACAGGATCTGAGAGGTGTTGGACACTAATTAGAGAAATTTAATGATTTCCTTTCCTATTCCTTTCCTTTCCCATTAATGTTTCCTGTTTTCTCATTAAGGGTCTTGATGTTGCAGTAGTACCTCTAGTTTTTAGTCCTTCTCCTTCATAGGTAATAGAAGGACAAAATTAAAATCCAGTGTGTCTTGAAGGGAGTGAAGAGAAATAGAGATGGAGATAGGGAAAGACAGAGAGGATCTTGAAGAGAAGAGAAATTTGCAAGTCATAGTCTTCCTATAGTTATTCCTCGGTGAGAAGATTTTCCTCAATCCCATTCTCATGTGTTTTATCTTGATGCTGCTTTCTAGTGTATCTTTGTGGCAATTAACTATTGTTGGGCTCTTTCTCACACATGTAGAGTCTCTAGACTGCTTATTAATGGAAATATAGTTATTAATGAAGGGAATATGTTAGTATCTACATCTGGATCATGGGGCAGATTTGGGGGCAGGTAAAGGGATACATGGCTAGGAGTCTGAGGATCAGAGCTCTAGTCATGCATAGGTAGATTGGTCTTTATACATGTATCAATGGAAAGGTCAAAGTTTCTCTTTTTTCTCCTTTGTCACCTCCAGAATAAAGAATAAACTAGATTATCTGTATAATCTGTTCTAATTTGATTATTTCTCAGGCAATGAGGAAAGATTGCTAATTAGCACACCCTGAGTTAAGGAGCATACACTCTAAAAAATTAATTAAGACGTATTTCTAAGTTATTTTTACAAGGTTGGACAAAGAGTAAAGCGCTATATGGAATTAACAATAAAGGCACAAATGTTAAGTGTTAGGGCTATTAATAGTTAATGTCACTGGGAACATATGATGTAAAAACTAATTTATTTTGAAAATTCTGATTTGTATTACTGATTACAGGATTTACATAATCAGCCATCATATTATACCAGGATTATCTTTTATGAATTTTCAATATTCAAGGAAGGCCTAAGGTATTATGTAAATTTCTATTTAAAATAATCACACATATTGGGAGGCCGAGGCGGGTGGATCATGAGGTCAGGAGATCGAGACCATCCTGGCTAACAAGGTGAAAGCCCGTCTCTACTAAAAATACAAAAAATTAGCCGGGCGCGGTGGCGGGCGCCTGTAGTCCCAGCTACTCGGGAGGCTGAGGCAGGAGAATGGCGTGAACCCGGGAAGCGGAGCTTGCAGTGAGCCGAGATTGCGCCACTGCAGTCCGCAGTCCGGCCTGGGCGACAGAGCGAGACTCCGTCTCAAAAAAAAAAAAAAAAAAAAAAAAAAAAAAAAAAAAAAAAAAAAATCACACATAATTTAACCTCATCTTCTTATATTTGTAAATATTAAAAATTACAGTTAATAACAATATATTATTCAATAATTATATTTTTCTCAAGAAAATTTTAAAAGATTACAATTTTCTACAACTTTAGATATTTAGTAAATCTTGAACAATAAACACACAGATTCTAGAAGAGATATTTTCCTTCATGCTTCTCAAATTATGGGAAGGCTACCACAAAGACTTCCCCAAATTTAATTATGTAATAATTGATTATCTTCTATTATTCCACATTGAAGTAACTTATTTAAAATAATAAAATTTATTTTAAATTTAAAATTGTTGATTGAATTAAAACTAGGTAATGCAATATTTTATTCATATGGCATTATCTTATGTGGTTTAAGTACATGTCATCAAAAGTGTAGTGCTTCACACTTATATTATTCGATTTATGGATAGTGACCTTGACATTTTTTCCAACTATTTTAAATTTAAATCAACTTTTAAAGACTCCTCCTATCTCTTTAAGCATAAGGTAAATAGGTAAGTAAAACAGCTTTCTTGTGGGTTGTCTATATGACATAAGGCAATACTGCCAATTATGTTTTCTATAGATGCATTTTCAGCTTTTCTATCATGACTCTCTTCCTCAAGAGAGACGCATTTTGTGATAATAATTTAGCAATACACTAAGAACAAAATGAATAGATAATTAACAAAGGTTTTCATTATTCTATTATATATCTGAGTGTATATAGTATACTATATATGTGTATTAGTTCATTTTCATGATGCAAATACAGATATACCAGAGACTGGGCAATTCAAAAAAGAAAGAGATTTAATGGACTTACAGTTCTACATGCCTGGGGAGGCCTCACAATCATGGTGGAAGGCAAGGAGGAGCAAGTCACACCTTACATAGATGGCAGCAGGCAGAAGGGAGCTTGTGTAGGGAAATTCTCCCTCCTAGAACCATCAGATCTCGTAAGACTTATTCACTATCACCAGAACACCATGGGAAAGACCAGCCCCCATGATTCAGTAATCTCCCACCTGGTCCCTCCCACAACATGTGTGACTACAAGATGAAATTTGGGTAGAGACACAGCCAAACCATATCGTTTTGCCTCTGGCCCCTCCCAAATCTCATGTCCTCAAATTTAAAAATCAATCATGCCTTCCCAACCATCCCCCAAAGTCTTAACTCATTTAAGCATTAACTTGAAAGTCCACAGTCCAAAGTCTCATGTAAGACAAGGCAAGTCCCTTCTGCCTATAAGCCTGTAAAATCAAAAGCAAGTTAAGTACTTCCTAGATACAATGGGGGTGCAGGCATTGGGCAAAGACAGCCGTTCCAAATGGAAGAAATTGGGCAAAAAAAAGGGGGCTACAGGCCCCAGGAACATCCAGAATCCAGCAGGGCAGTGAAATCTTAGAGTTCCAAAATCATCTCCTTTGATTCCATGTCTCACATCCAGGTCACGCTGATGCAGGAGGTAGTTTCCCATGGTCTTGGGCAGCTCTGCCCCTGTGGCTTTGCAGGGTATAGCACCCCTCCTGGCTGCCTTCATGTGCTGTCACTGAGTGTCTGTGGCTTTTCCAGGAACACAGTGAAAACTGTTGGTGGATCTACCATTCTGGGGTCTGGAGGACAGTTGCCTTCTTCTTACAGCTCTACTAGGCAGTGCCTCAGTAGGGACTCTGTGTGAAGGCTCTGACTCCACATTTTCCTTCCCCACTGCCCTAGCAGTGGTTCTCCATGAGGGCACTGTCCCTACAGCAAACTTCTGCCTGCGCATTCAGGCAATTCCATACATCTTCTGAAATCTAAGTTGAGGTTCCCAAACCTCAATTCTTGACTTCTGTGTACCCACAGGCTCAACATCACTTGGACTCTGCCAAGGCTGGGGGCTTCCACCCTCTTAAGCAACAGCCCAAGCTGTACCTTGCCCCCTTTTAGTCATGGCTGGAGCAAGCGGTATTCAGGGCACCAAGTCCTGAATGTATGCAGCAAGGGAATGTAGGCTTGGCCCACAAAATCATTTTTTCCTCCTTAACCTCCAGGCCTGTGATGGGAGGGGCTGCTGCAAAGTTCTCTGACATGCCCTGGAGACATTTTCTCTATTATCTTGGTGATTAGCATTCAGTTCCTCTTTACTTATGCAAATTTCTGCAGTTGGCTTGAATTTCTCCTCAGAAAAATGGGATTTTCTTTTCTATTCCATTGTCAAGCTGCAAATTTTCCAAAATTTTATGCTGTTTCCCTTTTAAAACTGAATGCCTTTAACAGCACCCAAGTCAGCTCTTGAATGCTTTGATGCTTAGAAATTTCTTCTGCTGGATACCCTAAATCATCTTTCTCAAGTTCAAATTGCCACAGATCTCTAAGGCATGGGCAAAATGCCACCAGTCTCTTTGCTAAAACATAACAACAGTCACATTTGCTCCAGTTTTCAACAAATTTCTCATCTCCATCTGAGACCACCTCAGCCTGGATTTCATTGTCCATATCATTATCAGCATTTTGGTCAAAGCCATTCAACAAGTCTCTAGGGAGTTCCAAATTTTCTCACACTTTCCTGTCTTCTTCTGAACCCTCAAAACTGTTCCAATCTCTGACTGTTACCCAGTTCCAAAGTTGCTTCCACATTTTTGGGTATCTTTTCAGCAGCGATGCCCTCTACTGTTACTGATTTACTGTATTAGTTTGTTTTCACAATGCTAATGAAGACATACCCAAGACTGGACAATTTACAAATGAAAGAGGTTTAATGGACTTACAGTTAGTCCACATGCCTGCGGAAGCCTCACAATCATGGTGGAAGGCAAGGAGGAGCAAGTCATATCTTACATGGATGGTGGCAAGCAAAAACAGAGCTTGTGCAGGGAAACTCCCCCTATTAGAACCATCAGATCTAACGAGACTTATTTGCTATCATGAAAACAGCACTGGAAAGACCTGCCACCATGATTCAATGACCTCCCACTGGGTCCCTTCCACAACACGTGGGAATGCAAGATGAGATTTGGATGGAGACACAGCCAAACCATATCAATATGTATATATTATGCATATAGTCATACTCAATAGCCACCAGCTTTTTTTTTTTTTTTGAGACAGGATCTCTCTTGCCACCCAGCCTGGAGTGCAGTGGTGCAAACACAGCACACTGAAGCCTGGAACTCCTGTGCTCAAGTGATCCCCTCATCTCATCCTCCCAAGTAGCTGGGACTACAGGTGCATGCTACAAAACCTGGTTAATTTTTTAATTTTTTGGTAGGGAAAGTGTTTCACCATGTTTCCCAGGCTTGTCTTGAACTCCTAAGATCAAGCAATCTGCTCACCTTGGTCTCCCAATGTTCTGGAATTAGGGTCAGTAGTCATCATGCCTGGCCAAGGTTATACTGGCTAGAATACATGTCAACTGCCTTTCTTTGCCATGAAAAAAAATATACAAACACCAAAGAGAAACAAGTCATACCATGGGTTTGAAGTGTTCTGATTGCAGGCAACTTCAGGCCTCATGGATAGCAGCATTTCAAGTTTAGGCTTTGCATATTTGCTTTTGTTTTTCTCATCAGAGTGATTCACGTGGAAAGATGTGTACGGATTAGAGAAATCCCTTGCTTTTAAAGAGTGAGAGAAAAGTGGTTGTGAGAATGCTAGGTACAAAAGGAGACCCAGATAGTCTCCTCCAATTCAGAGAATTCCCAGATCAATTTTGGAAAACACATATAGATTGTAACTCATTACATCCATGGAATTATTCAAATGTTTGGTTTATCTAGGGTCACACAGACTGAGATTTGAACACTTTGTTCAGGTTGACCTTCCTATATCTAGTCAAGAAGGAGGCAGAGCTTGAGGAGGTCCTTGAGAAATTCCCATTTAATGACCACCAGCATTGAAGAAGGAGTCACCCACACCAGTACCATTCTGGAGCTCTGCTCATCCTTATAGATACACAGATGGCACAAACAAAAAGCTACACTTGGCTGCTCTCTACCAGGGAATCTGTGTGTGACTGTGGGCAAGTTACAACTGCTGTGCCTCCATAACCTTATTTTTAAAGGAGAAATAACAACAGTACTGATGTCAACCATTTTTATGAAGAAAAACATGTGTTCACAGTTAGATATAGAATAGTACCTGGCACAGGTGAAGTACTCAGTAAATGTAACCAATTATTATTCTTAGTAAAATAGATTCATTATCCCCACCCCTTTCTGGTATTTGGAGGATCTCTGGTGTGGTTTCAGACTCTATGCTCTGTAGGAAGGAGTTTTTGAGTATAATAAGACAAACGAAGTTTATAAGACCTATTCATATATTTCATAATGACAGTGTGAGTATTGGCTCACAGAGGCAATACTTGGATGTGGCATACAGTGTTCTGCATTTCATCATGAACTCTGAATGTAATTGTATTAGATTACAATAATTTGTACCAAGTTGGATTTTTTCTCACCCCTTTTATATTCCATAATGGTCAGTAATTGTTGGAGTCCCAAGATATGATGGTTTCCTTGATATTTTGTTGATATCCCACAGAGATCAGTGATTGTTTTGGGAAGCTTATGAAACATGGCCCCAGGGACACACACACACACACAAACACACACACAAATATAAAACAGCATTTTCCATCATAGCATCTTCAGAAATAGGAGAAGCAATGGCCCTCCAATAGGTTGGTTAGTTGAACTACATTGTGTATTTTTTAGAATGAACATAAATTATATGTTCTGGGAGCTGGAAGCTTGACTTTTGTTCCTCATGGAGGTAATTTATTATAGTCATGCATTGCTGAAGGAGGAATTCTAAAGGAAGGAAATAGTATTATAAAATGTTTAAAATCTGTGTTTTATCCCTCTCTTAATCAGATAATGTTTTTTCAAATGCCATGGTTTGAGCACTGCTTGATGGCAGTATTTTTCTCATTGTGTATTAAGGGACAATTTGGTGGGAAGTGGAAACTATTTAATCTGCAATACCAAATATCTTACAACAGCTATTAATGTGAGATGAAAAGCAGTCTGAACAAATTGGGATGAACACTTGTTTTCTCTATCCTTCCCTCTTTCCCCTCTATCACACTAACTCTGTCCAGACAACCTAGTAAAGACTGCATGGAGATTATCTCCAAAGTCACCTTGATGCTGAGGGTGGTAGCAAGAGGCAATAGGAACAGGACTGTTCATGGAGGGACATGAACATGAGAACCACCTCTGAAGCAGAAAGAAGAGGAATTACTTTTTCTTTTTGAAAAGCATGTTGAAATGCCTCTCTATGGCAGGTTTCTCAACTAAGGCATCATTGAATTGTTGGTCCAGATAACGTTTTGTTGTATGTGCTGCAGGCAGGGACCTTCATGTACTTTGTAGAAGGCATTGTAGATTGTTCAACAACATCCCCACTACATGTCAATAGCACCCCCTTCCTCTTGTAACAACCAAAAATGTCCCCAGACATTGACAAATATGCCATTGGGATCAAAGTCACTTTTGACAAAGAATCACCGCTCTATGTGCAATTAACAGCTTGATTTTTTTTTTCTTTAGATTTGAAAGCAGGAAAGGGCTTTCAAAAGTGTGTATTAGTTTGAACTCAGGGGAAGATACACAACTCACCTCTCCTGGTCATTTTAAGAGAAAACACCATATTATCAAAACAATTTTTTTAAATTTTCAACCTGGCATTTAGCAATATGCATGCTGCATATCTTTGAAATCAGTTGAAGAATGGGAAAAATGTCTGGTTGTGTTGGTCTCTAGTCCAGATTTTTTTCTTGCAGGAGTGCTTGACTGGTGCTTCTACAATGATGTATGAACGTATCAAGGGTCAGGAAGAGAAAGAATGACAAGATTCTCACCCTCACTTTACGTTTGCTGTGTGTCAAAGGTCTAAAAAGTATGTGTCCCTAATTTTAAAAATTCCAACGTCTTTCCCCATTTCACTCACTAATAATGATGTTTTGGGAGAAGTAAGACAAGTTAACAGATTTTTTAAAATAAATATTTATGTTCATGGATGTTGTAAGGATTAAATATACGATTGTGTGTGGCATAAATATATGTATTTATATTATACATTATTATATACTATTTTTTCTCTACATTCTGGCTGTTTTTAAGTATTTTATCCCTTTTCACAGTCATTTATTGATATCATTAAGATGATTTAAAGTTATCCTTTATATGACTGCATGCTTTTATATTATATACACTACAAATGTGATCATCTTTCTCTTATTTGATATTTTATTTCTAAGTTTTAATATTACAAACAATACTGCAATGCAGCAGTGGGAAGTTTTCTTAGTAATTTCCCATGCACATCTTTGATCAGGTCTTCAAATAGATTGAAAGCAGTAAATTTATTTAAGACATAATTTTTTAAGACTGTGGAGTCATACTTACAGTAAGTTGTCCCCAAGAGTACCAATTCCCTAAACCATGGCTGACATTGAAAAATGTAATTAACCAAATCACCATACTAATTTTACAGAGAAAATACTAATACAGATTATAAAATGAGTTTCTTCATCTAAAATATATCAATAAAATGCAAACACTTGACTGCTAACATCTTAAATAAGTGTATTTCTCATCACTGTAATGAAAAATTCAGAGAGAGGTGCCGTAGATTCTAAACATTATTTTCTAGGATCCCAATATTTGGAGTTGGCTAAGAAAATGGGATTTGAATTTGAAAGAGTAAGGAGGCTAATTAAATAGTAAGTTGACCTCATTCCCAATGATTCAGTGAAAAGCTGTCAATTCTCAAAGACTAATTAAAAGAACAATATAAATTCATATATACGTTAATATTTTTGTTTGATCTTTGAATTAAACTAAGTTTATGCATTTGTGTTATACAAAGTTGAACTTTTTAAAATTTCACAAAAAGTTTTATTCTTTGCTGATAAGATAAACTATCCTACTTTTTCTGGTGTCTTTTTACAGGATACAGCCAAAACTAAAATTTAGACTATATAATGGAGAATAATTTTTAAGTTTCTTTTCCTCCAATCTCATATAAATTGGAGACATGGGCAAGGAAAACTGCACCACTGTGGCTGAGTTCATTCTCCTTGGACTATCAGATGTCCCTGAGTTGAGAGTCTGCCTCTTCCTGCTGTTCCTTCTCATCTATGGAGTCACGTTGTTAGCCAACCTGGGCATGATTGCACTGATTCAGGTCAGCTCTCGGCTCCACACCCCCATGTACTTTTTCCTCAGCCACTTGTCCTCTGTAGATTTCTGCTACTCCTCAATAATTGTGCCAAAAATGTTGGCTAATATCTTTAACAAGGACAAAGCCATCTCCTTCCTAGGGTGCATGGTGCAATTCTACTTGTTTTGCACTTGTGTGGTCACTGAGGTCTTCCTGCTGGCCGTGATGGCCTATGACCGCTTTGTGGCCATCTGTAACCCTTTGCTATACACAGTCACCATGTCTTGGAAGGTGCGTGTGGAGCTGGCTTCTTGCTGCTACTTCTGTGGGACGGTGTGTTCTCTGATTCATTTGTGCTTAGCTCTTAGGATCCCCTTCTATAGATCTAATGTGATTAACCACTTTTTCTGTGATCTACCTCCTGTCTTAAGTCTTGCTTGCTCTGATATCACTGTGAATGAGACACTGCTGTTCCTGGTGGCCACTTTGAATGAGAGTGTTACCATCATGATCATCCTCACCTCCTACCTGCTAATTCTCACCACCATCCTGAAGATGGGCTCTGCAGAGGGCAGGCACAAAGCCTTCTCCACCTGTGCTTCCCACCTCACAGCTATCACTGTCTTCCATGGAACAGTCCTTTCCATTTATTGCAGGCCCAGTTCAGGCAATAGTGGAGATGCTGACAAAGTGGCCACCGTGTTCTACACAGTCGTGATTCCTATGCTGAACTCTGTGATCTACAGCCTGAGAAATAAAGATGTGAAAGAAGCTCTCAGAAAAGTGATGGGCTCCAAAATTCACTCCTAGGGAAGATTTTATTAGCACAATTCAGGATTCCCAAGTAGTGGCAGGCGGGGGTTCACGGGAGAGGCACAGTGTTGGAGTACAGAGAAGAAGGAGCTCAGTAGTTATAAGCGAGTCTTTTTTGATTCACTTATCTTTGTGCTTCTTAAACTTTAAGGAGTAGGATTGAACATATTTCAAAATTTGCTGCCAACTTTTAAAAAATAAATACATAATGTTTAAATGGATATGAGCAATAGTATTATTAAGATAGACAAGTTTTGCTTTCTCTAAAACCATTACAAGTCTTCTAATGAAGAACTTACAAGGGTTACAATTTATTTCAGGATCCATTATGGAAACTACGATTCTTTTCAAAACAAAGTTTTCATTATTTTGTATTGATGATTACATTGTCATTGAAGTTTGTAGAATTTCATATATATATGGATTATATGTATATATGGAATATATATGTGTGGAATACATATGGAATATTTATATATTCCATATATATGTATAATGTGTATATATTTATCAGTTTTTGACATTTTAAAATTCTTTATTATTTTCTTGCTGTTGTTTTAGTTTCCAGTGTCATTGGAACTTTGGATAATATGTTATATGATAGATGAAAAACATAATAATTTCACAGGACTCTAGGAAAATTGAATTTAAAAAGCTGGAATCACTTACAAGGAGCTTAGAATAATCCCTGAAACATAATAAGTAGTTCTCTCTTTTTCTCTCTGTCTATGCTATATACATATATATTATATATACATAAACATGTGCATATAATAATTTAGAATTATTATGAATCTCAGCATTTCTGAATTAACCATCTTCTCTCACTTTATCTTTACTTCTTATCTTCAAACTAACTCTAAAATCCATTGAGGAAGACATGCTTACTGACACTTATAAGAGGACTTTTAATCTCTGTTCATGTTCTTTTCATGTGTTTTTAGTTTTGCTGAACTCCCTTTTATTTCACTTTCCATATGTACCCCAACCACATTTCTGAATTCTATATTGAATTATATGCACCATTGATGCTTTCTTTGTGACTTCATTATGATTTATGTCAATTTCCTCATTGTGTTTATTTGTTTGACAAGATTCAGAAAAATTTTATACTATGATACCGTGTGAAAGAATAAAGAAAGGTAAAACAAAAACTAATAGCAATAGGAAGAGGTGGAAGCAAACTTAATAAAGACAAGTACTTATTTAAGTGTTATTAAAACAAAGTTTGCCAGCAAATGAGAAAAGAATCACAGTTCGAAAATATGAAAAGATAAATAAAAATCCTTTAATCTTAATTTGAATTAGAAATTTACTTTGAAATGAAGTTTTTCTCCTAATTACCACTAAAAGCCATAACAGAGTCACTGTGAACATTCTTATTTCACAAATTTTCTCTGAAAAGAAACCTATTCCCTCTAAACAGAGCTAGGGCTTCTTGGAGAAATGGCTGTAAACATTTTTATTTTCCAAATTTTCTCTAAAAGGAAACCTTTTATCTCTAAACAGAACTAGGGCTTCTTGGAGAAATGGCTAATTTGAAGTCTAGGGTGGAAAATATGCAAGATGAGCCTTGGGCTGTTCGATGTTCCAGGAAGCTAGAATACTGTCAACAGTTAATCAGATTGTCTCTAAGACACATAGGAAGAGATTTGAAATTGCTGCCACTGGTTTATTGTTAGAAGATTTTAATGTAAAAATGAATATTGATGCAGCTGATTTAAAGGCCTCATGTATGTTTCTATCTAGATACTAAAAAAGAAAAAATATAAGAAATCATTGATTACTACTAATGGTTGTCAGGGTACCAACTCATTACTCTGAAAATACGTTATTAAAAAATCAAACATTCATTCCAATTTTCCTATATGAATTATATTTCAGCATCACCTCAGAGGTGAAGTTCAAAAGAAATAAAAGCATCAAGAATGAAATCAGACAATCACAATTGTAGAACTCCACATTTAAAAAGTGGATCAAGGTGACTTCAATGAACATAACAATCATTAGGAAAAAAGTTTGTGGGTAATTTTAAAACAAAGTAATTAGGTTGACACTACTTGAATCCAGAGATCAGAATGATCATCACTTAAAGTAGGACAACTAGTTGTCATCAACCAGTTATCATATGCTTCTCAATGGACTGCAACCAACAGTAGTCAGAAAAATCAATGAAGAATTTTTGCCTAAAAGACACTAAAAGAATGAACCTGAGCTAATAAGTCATCTTCATCTGAATATTAGTTTAAAAAATTGGTACAGAAATATATACAATGACACAAAATGAAGCACTAAGCCAAATACAGAGAATGCTTCATTATTATTATTTTTCCCCCAAAATATTGCCTAACACACACACACACAGAGGCTGTCACACAAAGAATGGTTATATAACAAAGTAAACTTTTATAACAACCATATTTATCTGAATCTTGATTCAAACTAACTGGAAAAAATATGCCTTTGAGACAATTGGGGTAATTTAAAAATGGATTGGGTATTTAATAATATTAAGAATATAATGATGATTTTGTTAGGTGCAGTTTTGGCATGAGTGTTTGGTTCAAACATTAAAGACTCTCCAATCAAAAAGTGATAAACTACCTATCAGGTATTATGCTTATTACCCAGGTGATGAAGTAATCTGTACAGCAAATCCCTGTGACAACAATTTACCTATATAACAAACATGCACATGTACCCCTGAATCTAAAACAAAAGTTAAAAAATGAAAATACTCTAATCAGAAGTCGATAGTTTGGCCTGCATTGTACTTCAGCATCGCCATGCCCTGGAGGAACTGAAGGGAGCAGGGAATCAAGTGGGATCTAACTGGGTGGAGCGGGAAGACTAACAATGCGCTCAAATTTCAACTTTTTCTCTAGGTCTGCTTTTAGTTCTGTAATTTTGTTAAGTAAAATCTTACAACTAGCCGTAATACTTACATGAGTTCTTAATTTTATCTGATCTTCCCATAAATGCCAATAGGCCAATTGTTTAGAAAGAGTGCTTTCTAATTTTTTTTTTAATAGGGAAGGCTTGGGCGGAGCATGGTGGCTCACGCCTGTAATCCTAGCACTTTGGGAGGCAGAGGCGGGCAGATCACTTGAGGTCAGGAGTTCAAGACCAGCCTGGCCAACATGGTGACACCTTTTCTCTACTAAAAATACAAACATTTGATGGGTGTAGTGGTGCATGCCTGTAGTCCCAGCTACTGGGGAGACTGAGGCAGGAGAATCACTTGAACCTGGGCGGCTGAGGTTACAGTGAGCTGAGATCATGCCACTGCACTCCAGCCTGGGTGACAGAGCAAGACACTGGCGCTCTCTCTCTCTCTCTCTCTCTCTCTCTCTCTCTCTCTCTCTCTCTATATATATATATATATATATATATATATATATATATATATTTATTTATTTATTTCAAAAGTTCTGATTTCAAAAGAAATATATATATATATTTCAAAAGATCTGTCTTCTTTCAATTGATAATTAAGATCTTCATTGGTGTGTATAATGCAATAGGACTTAATCCAACAAGGCTTTTGTGGAAAGACCAGAAGGCAACTTTCTAGAATTAGAATAAACCTTTACTAGGGATAAAAGGGGTCTTTCTGGAGTGAGTGCAGAAAAGGCAGCCTCCATGATCCAAAAATTCACTCACAGATCTCTAGTCTCTCACTGAATGTGAGACACCTTCAATAGAGGCCTGATAATCTGTGACACTGGGCAGGCAACACTGAGATGGGAGTTTCCCAGCACAAATCCAGGGAACAAAGTTGAGATGACAAAAACTGTGAGAGGTTGGCATGTTTGGACAAAGAAAGTGCTGCTTAAAATCATGTGTCTCCATTCCTCTGTCTTTTCATACTGACCTGCACCTGTGTGCTCTACCTTATGGTTCCTCTCCTTAGGACAAATGACACAAAAAGACAAAGACAAAGGAAGACAGACTATTTCTGAGATTAAAAGGATCAAATAGAAATGAAGAGTACTCACAAGAACACCGAAAGTCCCTTTTTAACCAAAGAACTAGTTCACAGTGTTTTCTCCTGCCAAATCCAAATTAGAGAGAGAAAAAGACACTGAGTAATTAAGAGAACAGAGATTTAACAGGGACTATAATATTTATCCAATTGAGTGTTTACTTCGTAATATTTCTGCTTTAACCCAAATGAGTCAAGATGACCGGAAAGCTAGATCTTCCTATTTTTTAATATGGTCAGAGTGTGTGGTGTGGAGGAAGAGGATTATGTCCAGCAAATAGTAGTTAGTGGATCAGTATCTGATACCAATGATCTTAAAATTACACATGTTCTTATAATTGGAGAAATATATGGAAGTGATAAGAGGGCTGAGGAAAATGACTTTAAAATATGAAAGTTTTATATGAAGTGCTCCTGATGTTTTAATTTTTTTTCTGCAAGTTTCTAGTATATTAGAATTACATGAGATAATGGTGATTAATTTTAATTTTTTTTGTGTGTGTGTGAGCTCAGGAGACTGGGGCAATAGGTAGTCTCTATGGTTCATGTCTCCTAGGCGTAACTATAGATATAAGAAAACATGTATCACTCTCAGCCTGGAAACGTCCTCCCTTTGCCATCAGCAGGTTTGCTTTAAGATTCTAAAGACAGATTGATATTCATTTCAACCTACTTAACAACTTAGGAGGAGGAAAATGCACCCTTAGGATTAAGCAGTTCTTGAAAATATGTGTGAATGTGCAAAGAACAGGAAGTGCTCTCTTTCTGCGAAGCTTTGTATCAGAAGGCCTGACTCCTGAACAATAGTCTTATGAAAACAGGTACCTGGGATGGGGAAATAGAAGAGCTTTGAGAATATTAGGAGTGTGTATTGCCTTGCTTCTGTTAAGTTTTGGAGAAAAAGTCAAGGTAGAATAGGCAATATTGAAGTAAATTGAATTAAACAGAGAGATAATAGACTCTCTAGTGAAAAAAATAAAAGGCGCCAGCTTTAATTAAGATTATATAACAGGAAACACATGTCAGCCCTAAAAGCAAAAATAACAACTAAATTCAAAAGGAGATAAACTATAGGAAAGAAGATTTCATCTGTCATATTTCGGGGATTCAAATATTTAAAGCATTATTACCTATTTTATAGTTACGTTTTGGACACAAAGGCCATTATGTAAAATGTAACATTAGTTTAAAATAAAATTTAAATGCCTTAGATAAATAAAATGCAGTGTTAAGAAAAAAATGTGCTGTCCAGGCATTTTGGCTCATGCCTGTAATCTCAGCTACTCAGGAGGCTGAGGCAGGAGAATCTCTTGAACCCAGGAGGCGGGAGGCGGAGGTTACAGTGAGCCATAATCACGCCACTGCACTCCAGTCTGGGCGACAGAGCAAGATTCTGTCTCCAAAAAAAAAAAAGGAAAGAAAGAAAGAGAAAAGAAAAAATATGCTAATTAGGATATCTGGGTTTGTGATGGATTGTCTTTTGAGGTTGTCTATTTTTTTTTGAGACGGAGTCTCGCTCTGTCGCCCAGGCTGGAGTGCAGTGGCGCGGGGTCTCTGCTTACTGGAAGCTCCGCCTCCTGGGTTCACTGGGTTCACGCCATTCTCCTGCCTCAGCCTCCTGAGTAGCTGGGACTACAGGCGCCTGCCACTACGCCCGGGTAATTTTTTGTATTTTTTTTTTAGTAGAGACGGGGTTTCACCGTGTTAGCCAGGATGGTCTCAATCTCTTGACCTCGTGATCCACCCGCCTCTGTCTCCCAAAGTGCTGGGATTACAGTCGTGAGCCACCGCGCCCGGCCTTGAGGTTGTCTTTAATACACAAATTCATGAGTATAGGAAGAGAGGGCCCTTGAATATGTTGGTCTTGCATGTAAATTAACATCTTTCTTGATAGGCCGTCTAAAAATTTGGGTGGGTTATGTGAATAGATATAATGTCTATTATGATAGAGAAAGAGATTACAGATATGATAGCATCTGAGAGGTGTTGGACACTAATTAGAGCAATATAATGATTCTTTCCTATTATTGTTTTCTGTTTTCTCATGAAATGTATTCATGTTGCTGTACTATCTCAAGTTTTTAGTTCTTCTCCTTCATAGGTAATAGATGGACACAATGAATATATAATGTGTCTTGAAGGGAGAGAAAAGAAATAGACATGGAGACAGGGATAGACAGAGAGGACCTAGAAGAAAAGGGAAGTTTGCAAGTCAGACTCTTACACTAGTTATTTCTGGGTAAAAAGATTTTCCTCAATCCCATTCTCATGTGTTTTATCTTGATGCTGCTTTCTAATATATCTTTGTGGCAGTAACTGTCACTGGACTATGTAGATTCTCTAGTCTGCTTATTAATTGAAAGTATGGTTATTAATGAAGGGAATGTGTTAGTATCTCGACCTAGATAATGGAGCAGAGTTTGGTGCGGGTAAAGGGTTACATGTCTAGGAGTTCAAGGATCAAAACCCTAGTCACAGATGTGTAGATTGGCCTTCCTGGGCATATCGATAGGAAATTCAAAGCTTCTCTGGCTTCTACTTTGTCACCTATAGAATAAAGAATAAACAAGGGTATCTGTATTGACTATTCGATATTTATTATTTCTCAAGCAATGAGGAAGGATTGATAATTAGTACAGCCTGATTTTGGAGCATACGCTCTGAAACAATTAGTTCAGCTGTATTTTGAAGTCAAATTTTCTGGGTCAGACAAACATTAAACTGCTATATGGAATTAACAATAAAGGCACAAATGTTAAGCGTTAGGGCTCTTGATAGTTAATGTCATCGTATAAACAAATTATGTGAAAACTAATTTATGAAATTTTGATTTGTATAACTGATTATAAGATTTACACAATCAGTCATCATATTATACGAGGAAGATCATTTATGTAGAATGCTTAAGGAGGCCTGAAATTATTATGTAAATTTTTAATTTAAAATAATCACAAATATTTAATCTCATTTTCCTATATTTGGAAATATTAAAAATTACAGTTACTAACTTACTCTTTTACTCAATAATTGTATTTTTCTTAAGAAATTAAAAAACATTACAGTGTTTTTACATGTTAGATATTTAAGAAATCTTAAACAACAAACTCATAGATTCCGGAAGAGATATTTGCTTCATCCTTCAGGAGCCGTAAAGGTATTCAATCACCCTTCTTATTTTCTCATTCTCCTTAACATTTTTGTTTTCAGAACTAACTTTCAGATTCGAAGAAACAGAAGCGATGCTGCTGACTGATAGAAATACAAGTGGGACCACGTTCACCCTCTTGGGCTTCTCAGATTACCCAGAACTGCAAGTCCCACTCTTCCTGGTTTTTCTGGCCATCTACAATGTCACTGTGCTAGGGAATATTGGGTTGATTGTGATCATCAAAATCAACCCCAAACTGCATACCCCCATGTACTTTTTCCTCAGCCAACTCTCCTTTGTGGATTTCTGCTATTCCTCCATCATTGCTCCCAAGATGTTGGTGAACCTTGTTGTCAAAGACAGAACCATTTCATTTTTAGGATGCGTAGTACAATTCTTTTTCTTCTGTACCTTTGTGGTCACTGAATCCTTTTTATTAGCTGTGATGGCCTATGACCGCTTCGTGGCCATTTGCAACCCTCTGCTCTACACAGTTAACATGTCCCAGAAACTCTGCGTGCTGCTGGTTGTGGGATCCTATGCCTGGGGAGTCTCATGTTCCTTGGAACTGACGTGCTCTGCTTTAAAGTTATGTTTTCATGGTTTCAACACAATCAATCACTTCTTCTGTGAGTTCTCCTCACTACTCTCCCTTTCTTGCTCTGATACTTACATCAACCAGTGGCTGCTATTCTTTCTTGCCACCTTTAATGAAATCAGCACACTACTCATCGTTCTCACATCTTATGCGTTCATTGTTGTAACCATCCTCAAGATGCGTTCAGTCAGTGGGCGCCGCAAAGCCTTCTCCACCTGTGCCTCCCACCTGACTGCCATCACCATCTTCCATGGCACCATCCTCTTCCTTTACTGTGTGCCCAACTCCAAAAACTCCAGGCACACAGTCAAAGTGGCCTCTGTGTTTTACACCGTGGTGATCCCCATGTTGAATCCCCTGATCTACAGTCTGAGAAATAAAGATGTCAAGGATACAGTCACCGAGATACTGGACACCAAAGTCTTCTCTTACTGAGCCTGTTACTTTCATGGAGTTTGTCACACATATAAATAAATTCTGTCCATAAATATTGATCTTAAAGATATCTTTACAAATAAACAAAGTTAGGGTTGTACAACTCAACGAAATGGATTTTCTTTTCAACAGACTAAACTTAGCTCTGTCTCTTACTTTCTGGGAAGCATCAGTAATCCCTCTAATCTTTAATATTTCATTTATGAAATTAGTATAGTATGGGTTAGATCATAGTCTGATTGTGAAGATTAAAATATAATGGACACCTTACGTAAGTCAATGGATATTAATTTCATGTCCTTTCCTTATAAGATACCGGGAATAGACTAAGTGCTTAGGAAACATATGAATTTCTTTTATAAATGTGCAAAATAAGTTAAAAGAAGAAATAGTCCTCATCTTCAAGGATGAAAACTGTGTTGATAATAGGACAATGAAGAAGTGGCCATTGTGTAAGGCAGAAATTAATATGTACCAAAGAGAGTTTGAGAGAAGAGAAAGTTCAAATCTACTTAGGGATTTTAGAAGGATGTCTTAATGAAATAGGTATTGTTTGAAACCGGCTTTTGAAAAGGAAATGGGCGGAGTTTATGAGATACATTCCAGGGAGAAAGGAGTTTTCTTCTGGAGAAAACAATGTGAATAAAACCAATTAGGTAAGAATGTAATACCTAGTCAAAGATCTAATACTTGTTTTATTGAGCTAACATAATATAATGTGTGTTTGTGTGTGTGTGTGTGTGTGTGTTTATGTATACGGGTTACTTGACATGAACTGAAATTTTAATATGATATGGGCTACATCCTGAATGTGTTTTCAAAGGAGCTCCAGTGTGACCATCTGATAAACCATAATAGACTTCACCAGATGCTGATGAATAATGGATCAGATCTTAGAAAATCCTATGTACCAAATTAGGGATGATGAACACCTGCCCAACCTGTATGTCATACTGTTAGACATCACAAACTTTATCAATCCATTATGATTTTTTTATGAGCATGGAAATAATCTCTGAATCCTTCTCAACAGAATTCCCAACAACCTTTATAAAAAGGTATTTGGAGTAGTCTTAAGTGTTGAAAGCTCTTTGGCTGCATAAACTTATTCAAAATAAATAAAAATCAGGTAATCATTAATATCAAGACCTCTTTAACACAGCAAATTAAAAATGCTAGCTCTTTCTTACCTTAATAACTCACTTTCATTCGAATAAATTGTATACCCTTCTCCTTTTCAATGTGTCTAGATACAGTTCCAAACAAATCATCAATATAGTGGAAGAAGTAAATTTCCAGGTGTTTTGTTAAGGGAGAAAAAATAAACTGGGGAACAATTTTATATAAACTTCTTAAATTTATTTAGAATGTTCATATTATTTTGACCTTATGATGATTATTAAAGTTATGATAATTATTAAAGTGATTCATCTTACATATATTATTTGATAAAGAATCCACTAAATAATCCTTGTAATAGAAAAATTTTTCAAAATGTAAGGAACAGTGTTTTAGATATTAAATGCCTGAGGAGGGAATACTTTTTCTCTTGATATCTGTATCTCCAGGTATTCAAACATTTATCCTTTGTACACATCTGGTACTTATACAATTTTTAATTTTCTCAGAAGTTGGGACATTGTTTTAATATTAAATCGAATACTGAATTTCACCATCTTTTGAAATCCTGAAAAGCTGCCATGGGAACAAGCATAAAATAGGATATTTGATAATGAGGAAAATTAGCCCATATCCCCATCACAAGGGCTTTTCTCTGGCAACCTACCAGACTTGAGTGTGAAGCCCTGTGAGATGATCTGACCTGCCAGCTGACAGTATACACACAAGCAAGACAAGCCAAGATCAGCCATGCCAGGGACATGTGAGCAGAACCACCTGGATGATCCATGCAATAGAGTCACAGGCAATAAGAGGTTGTTGTGTTTAGCCAATAGGTTTTGGAGTGGTTTGTTATACAGTCATTAGAGTCATTCACTTTCTCAAATTCTGGGAATGCTACCAAAAAAACTTCACGATGTTTTATTATGTAATAATTCACCATCTTCTATTATTCCACATTGAGGAAACATTTTAAAATAATAAAATGTGTTAAATTTTAAATTATTGATTTTATTAATACTTGCTAATACAATATTTTATTCAGATAGCATCTTATGTGGTTTAAGTACATGTCATCAAAAGCTTAGTGCTTCACATTTGTATTATTCAATTTATGAATAGTGACCATGAAATTAATTACAACTGTTTTAAATTTAAATCAAGTTTTCAAAACAACTCCCATCCCTTTAAGCCTAAGACAAATAAGGTATGCAGCTTTCTTGTGAGCCTATACAACATAAGGCACCACTGGTAATGATGTTCTCTATAGAACTTTCAGCTTTTCTATCATGACTCTCATCTTCAAGAGAGATGAGTTTGTGAAAATACTTTGGCAGTACACTAAAAATAAAGTGAATAGGTAGTAAACAAATGTTTTCAACATTTTACTATATATCTGAGTATGTATATAGTACATATCTGAGTACATATACATAATGTATACATTATGTATAAACTCATACACAATAGCCAGTAGGTAAAGGATATATATATACACACACATATATGTGTGTGTGTGTATGTGTGTGTATATATATATATATATATATATATATAGAGAGAGAGAGAGAGAGAGAGAGAGAGAGAGAGAGAGAGGTTCTCTCTTTGTTACCCAGGATGGAGTGCAGTGGCGCAAACACAGCTTGCAGTCCGGATCTCCTGGGCTTAAGTGATCCTCCCATCTCAGACTCCCAGGTAGCTGGGAATATAGGTGCACGCCACCCAGCTCGGCTAAATTTTGTATTTTTTTGTAGAGATAAGGTTCTTCCATTATGCCCAAGGTGGTCTGTAACCCCCGAGATCGAGAGATCTGGTCACCATGCACCCCTCCCAACGTGCTCAGATCAGGGGCATTAATCACCACACCTGGGCAAGGTTCTATTGGCTATAGTACATGTCAACTGCGATTCTTTTCAATGAAAAGATTTACAAACACCATAGAAAAACAAGTCATATCATGGATTTGAAGTGTTTCGATTAAAGACAACTTCAACCCTCATGAATAACATTTCAAGTTTAGGCTTTGGATGTTTGCTTTTCTTTTTCTCATCGGAGTGATTCACATGGTAAGTATGAATGGATTAGAGAAATCCCATGCTTTTTTAAAGAGCGAGAGAAAAGCTGTTGTGAGAATGCTAGTTACAAAAGGAAACCCAGAAAGCCTCCTACAATGCAGATAATTCTCGGATCACTTTTGGAAAACACATATAGATTATAACTGCTTATATCAATGGAATTATTGAAATGTTTGGTTTCTCTTGGGGCACACAGACTGTGCTTTGAACACTGCTCATTCAGGTTGACATTGCTGTATTAGTCAAGAAGGAAGCAGAACTTGGGGAGATCCTTGAGATATTCCCATTTAATGGCCACTAGCATTGAATAGGGAGTCTGCACCCCCGGTACCACTCTGGAGCTCTGCTCTTCCTTATGGTTGCACAGATGGCACAAGCCAAAAAGCCACACTTGACCTGTCTCTATCAGGGATTCTATGTGTGACTGTGGGTGAGTTACACCTGCTGTGCCTCTATAACCTTATTTTGAAAGGGGAAATAACAGTACTAATGTCAACCAGTTTTATGAAGATAAAATGTGTTCATAATTGTATTTAGAATAGTATCTGGTACATGAGCAGTACTCAGTAAATTATTAGTATTAGTATCAGCAATTATTAGTATTCTTAGTAAAAGGGACTCCTTATCCCCACCCCTTTCTGGTATTTGGAGGATCTCTGGTGTGGTTTCAGACTCTATGCCCTTTAGGTAGGAGCTTTTGAGTGTGAAACAAATTTTATAATGCCTATTTATATAATTTCATAACATGAAATGGCAATGTGAGTACTGGCTCACAGAGGCAATGCTTGGATGTGGCATACAATGTTATGCAATTTACATGAAGTCTGAATGTAATTGTGTTACATTATAATAATATGTACCAAGTTGGATTTTTTCTCACCCTGTTTATATTCCATAGTGGTCAATAATTGTTGGAGTCCCAGGATAGGATGGTTTCCTTGATACCCATTTGATATCCCACAGAGATCAGTGATTGTTTTGGGAAGCTTATGAAACATGGGCCCCAGGGACACACACACACACACACACACACACACACACACACACACAAAATACAAAACACATAATATTTTTCATCATAGCATCTTCAGAAAGGAAAAGCAATGTCTTTCCAATAGGATGGTTGGTTGAACTACATTTTGTATTTTTTGGAATGAGCATAAACTATATTTTCTGGGGGCTGGAAGCCTGATGTGTTTTCCTCATGGAGGTAGCTTATTATAGTCATACACTCCAGAAGGGGAATTCAAAAGGATGGTAATGGTATTAGATAATTTTTAAGTCTGTGTTTTATCCCTCTCTTAATCAGATAATGTTTTTTTAAATGCCATGGTTTGAGCACTCCTTGATGACAATATTTTTCTCATTGTGTATTAGGGGACAATTTTGGTGGGAAGTGGGAACTATTTAATCTGTAAAACCAAACATCTTATAACAGCTATTAGTGTGAGATGTAAAGCAGTGTGAAGACATTGGCATAAGCACTTGTTTTCTCTATCCTTCCCTCTCTCCCCTCTATTACACTAACTCTGTCCATGCGACTTGGTTAAGACTGCATGGAGATTTTCCTAACAGTCATCCTAGTGCTGAGGGTGGCAGTAGGAGGCCCACGGGACTGTTCATGGAGGGACATGGACATGAGAACCACCTCTGAAGCAGAAAGAAGAGGAATTATTTTGTCTTTGTGCAAATCACTTTGAAATGTCTCTCTATGGCAGGTTTCTCAAATAAGGCACCATTAAAATGTTGGTCCAGATAATGTTTTGTTGTGTGTGCTGTGGGCAGGGACCTTCATGTGCTTTGTAGAGGTCATTGGAGAGTGTTTGGCAGCGTCCCCTCTACATGTCAATAGCACCCCCTTCCTCTTGTAACAACCAAAAATGTCTCCAGACATTGACAAATATTCCACTGGGATTCAAGTCACTCCTGACAAAGAAACACTGCTCTATGGGCAATTAACAGCTTGATTTTTTTCTTTATATTTGAAAACAGGAAGGGGTTTTTGAAAGTATGTACTAGTTTGATCTTGGGGAAGGACATGTAACATACTTCTCCTGGTCATTTTAAGAGAGAAAATCTTATCTTCAGAACATTTTAGTAATTTTCAATCTAGCATTTAGTTATATGCCTCCTGTATATCTTTGAAATCAGTTGAAGAATGGGAAAAATACCTGGCTCTGTTGGTCTCCAGTCCAGATTCTTTTCTGCCCAGAGTGCTCAGCTCGTGCCTCTACAATGATGTGTGCATCTATCAAGGGTCAGGGAGAGAGAATAGGAAGCTTCTCACCCTCACTTTACACTTGCTGTGTGTTGAAGATTTGGAAAGTATGTGTCCCTAATTTTAAAAATTCCATCCTTTTCCCCCATTCCACTCCATCATAATGATGTTTTGTGAGGAATCAGGTAAGTTTATCTATTTTTTTGAAATAAATATTTATGCTCATTGATGTTGCACAGATTAAATATATGATGCAGCTTATGTGTGTGAGTAGAATAAATACATATATTTATATTATACATTATTATATAACATTCTTTATGTTCAATCTGACTGTATTATAACTTTCCATTTTATCATTTATCGCAGTCTTATCCTTTTTATAACTGCAAGCATTTCCATTATATATACTACATTTGTGACCACGTCTCTTATTTTATATTTTATTTCTAACTTTTAATATTACAAATAATAGTTCAATGCAGTAGTGGGTGTTTTTCTTAATCATTTTCTATGCACATCTTTGATCAATTCTTCAAATAGATTGAAAGCAGTAAATTTATTTAACAAATAAATGTTTTAGGACTGAACAGTCATAGTTACAATAAGTTGTGCTCAAGAGTACCAATTCCCTGAACCATGGCCAACATTGAAGAGTGTAATTAACCAAATCACCAGGCTAATTTTATAGAAAAAAAGATAATACACACAATAAAATGAGCTTCTTCATCTAAAATATATCAATAAAATATAAACACTTGTGAATTAACATCTTAATTAAGTATATCTCCCCATCACTGTAGTGGAAAATTCAGAGAGGGGTACCATATATTCTAAGCATTATTTTCTAGGATCTCAATATTTGGAGTAAGCTAGGAAAAGGGGATTTGATTTTGATATAATCATAAGGCAAATTAAACAACTTTACCTCTTTCCTAATGATTCTGTGCCAATGTCTCAACTGAGAAAGATTAATTAAAAGAATTCTATAAGTTTTTTAAATGCCAATGTTTTTGTTTGATCTTTGAATTAAACTGTATGTTTTATGCATTTGTATTATACAATGTTGAACTTTTTCAGATTTCCCAAAATTTCTGTTCTTTGCTGATAAAAATTAGCTATCCTACTTCTTCTGATATCTTTTTACAGGATACACCCAAAACTAAAATTTAGACTATATAATGGAGAATAAGTTTTAGGTTTTTTTCTCCTCTAATCCTGCATAAATTGGAGACATGGGCAAGGAAAACTGCACCACTGTGGCTGAGTTCATTCTCCTTGGACTATCAGATGTCCCTGAGTTGAGAGTCTGCCTCTTCCTGCTGTTCCTTCTCATCTATGGAGTCACGTTGTTAGCCAATCTGGGCATGACTGCACTGATTCAGGTCAGCTCTCGGCTCCACACCCCCGTGTACTTTTTCCTCAGCCACTTGTCCTTTGTAGATTTCTGCTACTCCTCAATAATTGTGCCAAAGATGTTGGCTAATATCTTTAACAAGGACAAAGCCATCTCCTTCCTAGGGTGCATGGTGCAATTCTACTTGTTTTGCACATGTGGAGTCACTGAGGTCTTCCTGCTGGCCGTGATGGCCTATGACCGCTTTGTGGCCATCTGTAACCCCCTGCTGTACATGGTGACCATGTCTCAGAAGCTGCGTGTGGAGCTGACCTCTTGCTGCTACTTCTGTGGGACGGTGTGTTCTCTGATTCACTCGTCCTTAGCTCTTAGGATCCTCTTCTATAGATCTAATGTGATTAACCACTTCTTCTGTGATCTACCCCCTCTCCTAAGTCTTGCTTGCTCTGATGTCACTGTGAATGAGACACTGCTGTTCCTGGTGGCCACTTTGAATGAGAGTGTTACCATCATGATCATCCTCACCTCCTACCTGCTAATTCTCACCACTATCCTGAAGATACACTCTGCAGAGAGCAGGCACAAAGCTTTCTCCACCTGTGCCTCCCACCTCACAGCCATCACTGTCTCCCATGGAACAATCCTTTACATTTATTGCAGGCCGAGTTCAGGCAACAGTGGAGATGTTGACAAAGTGGCCACCGTGTTCTACACAGTTGTGATTCCCATGCTGAACCCCCTGATCTACAGCCTGAGAAATAAGGATGTGAACAAAGCTCTCAGAAAAGTGATGGGCTCCAAAATTCACTCCTAGGGAAGATTTTATTCACAGAATTCAGGATCCCCAAGTTGTGGCAAGTGAAGGTTCGTAGGAGGGGTGCAGTGTTGGAGTAGAGAGAAGAAGGAGCTCAGTAGTTATGAGGGATCCTTTTTTGATTCACTTATCTTTGTTTCTCTTAAATTTAAACTAATAGGATTGAACATATTTCAAAATTTGCAGCCAACTTTTATAAAAATAAATTTGTGATGTTTTAAATGGATATGAGCCACAACATTATTAAGATACAAACATTTAGTTTTCTGTAAAACCTTCACAAATCTAGTGAAGAACTCAGAGGAGTTACACTTTATTTCAGTATCCATTTATGGAAACTATGATTCTTTTACAAATAAAATTTCCATTATTTATAATGACGATTACACCATCGTCAAAGTGTGTACAGAATGAGAATTCCATATATCTATGCATATATATGTGTTTGTCATTGTTTGATTTTTTATGTTTCTTGTTTTATTCTTCATTATTTTGTTTCTGCTGTTGCAGTGTACAATGTCATTGAAATTTTGGGTACTATGTGATTTGATAGATGACGAAAATAATAATTGCAGCGGACTCTAGGGAAATTGCATTAAGGAAGCTGGAATCACATAAAAAGAGCTTAGAATAATCCCTGGAACATAATTATTAGTTGTCTCTCTCTCTACCTACATTACGCACACACACACACACACACACACACACACACACACATATATAATATAAATATGTACAGATAATAATTTAGAACCATTGTTATGAATCACAGCATTTCTGAATTAACCCTCTTCTCTCACTTTATCTTTACTGCTTATCTTCATACTAACCCTAAAATCTATTGATGAAGAGATGCTTACTGACACTTATGACTTTTAACCTCTGCTCATGTTCTTTGCATGTGTTCTTTTTTTTTTGGCTTAACTTTCTTTTATTGTATTCTTTCCATATGTACCTAAACCACATTTCTTAATTCCCTGTTGAATTATATGCACCATTAATGCTTTATTTGTGATTCCATTACGACTTATGTCAATTTCCTCATTTTATTTACTTGTTTAAATTAAACTTCTCTCTTTGTGTCTGTAATAATATTAGAAAAGCAATAGGTTTGAGTTTTTCAAAACCGAGATTGGTGTTTTGACCCTGGTTTTTTAATTTGTCAAGTAATTTAACTTATTTGGTCCTCAGTTTCCTTTGTTTTAGCATTGGATAATAGTTTTAACCTCATGGAATTTTATTGAGATTAAAATTTCATAGCATATGTGTACTTACTGACATCAGGAAGAGACTCAGTGTATATCTAAATGAAGTCATTGAAGCTTGGGGTTTATTTAACTTTTTATCTACTTCATCATCAGTGGCATATGAGAAGTTTTTAAAAAATCTTTTATTTTTATGAAATGCATGGATGAGTAGATATTGGTGAATTTATGGTAAGCATATTGGGATTACTATGCAGATTACATTTCGAGAGACTTCAAGAACTGTGAGTTGGTCCACATTGTCACGAATGTTCTAGCAGTCATGGTCTACTTAGGAAAACAAATGCTCTGCAGGATCTAATTCATGAAATGTTAGCGATTAGAGGCTCAAAAGAGCACACAGGAGATGCTGTATTATTTAAAGATTGTTGACTTTAGGAAGTAACTATTGCTCTTGATATTAGAGGGCAATAGGGAAGAAACATTGTCCCCAGAACCTCAGAGCTTCGTGGAAGCAGCTCAGTCCGCCGGTGTTAATCCCTTGAGGAAGAGACATAACGCTTAGTGTGTCAGGGCCTCTGAGGCTGGGTTAGGACTCAGCAGATTTCCAGTGTCCTGTGGCACGCTCAGACATGGTCCAAAGAAGGCTGTGCTAGATGGCTGCTCCTGCCTCTGAAGAGGTTATCATGGAAAGCTGGAACACACCAAGTATCCACTGTGGCTAGATTCACACTAAGAGAAACTGGAAAATCAAGAAGAGATGTTCTTCTTCTCTCTTTTCCATTTCCTTCTCATCTTCCCTTCTCCCCCTCCTCCCCTTACCCCCTTACTTCCTCTGGCGGATCTAAAAGGAAGGCAGCTAGATAGGACATCTGGGGAATACAGTTTGCAAGCCCCAGCAGCAAGATCACAGCATAAGGACTAGGAGAGTGGACATGAAAATGAGACTAGGTTCAACAAACACAGCTTCTGAGGGACTTGCGGTGTACAATGCACAGGGTACAAGGAAAACCCTCTTCTCCTATTACCTAGAGTGTGTACATCTTTCTGTATCTGAACACTTCAGTAAAAATCAAGATTCTTAGTTTTGATCTCTTTATATTAATTATAAATGCAATTGATTCTTGGTAAAATTGGTAGAACAAATGCAACACAAGGCTGTGGTCACCCTTTAAGATCTGGGGAACAAATTTCCATGGTGCCAAATCACATATTTAATCTAATAATTTTTCCCACAATTTCTGTATAGTAAGAAGTCCTATATTTTTCTTGGCTATTTTTGGTAATGGTAACTAAGATGAGATTCACTGGGCAGCTTGTTTCAAAGGGAATGCCAGTCACCAATAGTAAGCTCTCTTAGCAATTGGTGACCTTGTTGGCCTGATAGAATGGAAAGGGTAATTCAGAATGAGGGAAGGGGTGTAAATGAATGAACCACAGGTGGTAGATCTAGCATTTAGGTTCACTTCTCTATTCCATGTTTTGTATCCAGTGAAATGATATACTCAAAGTCAATAAATCACCCAGAAAATTGTGTAAAGAAACATTGTCTCTGTAATAATGTATTTTGTACATAATATAGCTTTGGAAAATATCTAAATGCCAAGTTATATAAGACAGTAGATTTATTTCTGTCTCAACCTGAAAATTAGAGAGAGAAGAGAAAGAAAGGGAGGGATTTGTAAAACATAAGCATCTAATTTTCAATGACATTTTCAACTTTTCTTTGAAGTTTCTGTTCAATCATTTTCTCTTATTTTCACTGTGTGTTAATGTTTTCCATAATGATTTATAAGATATTCTAGATTTAAAAATTATTAGCTTCTAAGGATAAAATTTACAAAAAATATCATAATTTGGTAATGTAATTTAATTTTATATAGCAAGAAAACTTTTTAATAAGTAGTTTACATTTTCATGTTTTTATACTCATATTTTGGGCAACTTAACAATAAGTGCAGTAAAAATAAATCATAAATATATCCTAAAATATATCCATTATATATTTGTCTCAATTTTATATGATTTGATATCTTAAATTTATTGGTTTTTATTTGCTTTGTACATGTTTGTTGAATGAATGTATGCTTACAAAATAAATATCCAGCTTCCATTGCCAAACTATATAGCAATGTTCGCAACATCATTTATTGAGAGTGCTTTTTTTCCCTATAGGTATTTAATATTCCATTAACATATATACATTCCTCAATAAATTACATTTTTAGCATTGAAATGCTAAGAATATTAAGCCTTTCAGCCAAACCTTGAGTAATATTTCAGTCTATACCTCGACTTCTATAATAAAGATACCTCAACTTCTATAATAAAGAGTATGGCCATATTGTTTTATAATTCAGTTTAATTTTCAAAATACAATATTTTACCTGACAGACTCATTAACACTGTGCAAGGTAGTAATATATAACACCTCTCTTCTGTTAGTAACTGTCATATTAATACATAGAAAGAACTATATTATGTCTCTAGTTGTGTACAGTAATTATTGGTGGGGGGAGGGCATTTTTACACACCACTTTTAATGGAACAAATTACAGAGTTCCTTACAAATGTGTTGGCATAACAGTTCACGTTTTTCAACATCCACACTCCAAGGAATCAACCATATAAGCAGTTATTCATTGCAGACTGAAAATCTCTTCAACAGAAAAGTCAATAACAAGCAAAAAGTGATGCTAAAATTTAAAAATCAATTAAACATGTGAATAAGCAGCCTTCTTAAGAACACTGGAAACAAATTGCAGGGGTAAACTAACCCATATTCTAAAATTTGTTCTGATCCACCAACTTTCATTCTTTTGGAACCACTTTTTTTACTATTATTATAGGCAATCTAAGCAGAACCATCTTTGAAAATGTGAGAATTAGAGCTAGTTCTGGATATTTTTGGCCTACAGCAAAACGCATTTTATGTTTCTAATGTTAAAAACATAAATATTGACTTTGAAAAGAAGTTTGTTTCTTTGTTTTTAATATTAGGTCATTAAGGAGTAATATTAATATTTAGGTGGAGAACACATACGACAAACCAACAGACAGATAACAACACTACCCATTCTATATATAGCAGATTTTGCCTATGTCACTATCCGTGATTTAAGGCAAGCCTATCTAAACTCTTTGGCCACAATTTCATCAATAGCATTTATTTTAAAAGACGGCAATAGATTCTGATTACTTTTAAATTAGGCCTTCACATAGCTATAATTACCCTAATTATATAGATGATTACACATTTTCCAAGACACAGAAATGCTATCTCTGAAATATTTCTCAACATGTTTCCTTCTTCTCTATGGCCATTACCATTTCATAGTTCACACACTGTAAGATTTACCATCATTAGACGTTTCCACAAGAAATAAACTTTGTTAATTAAACCACAACACAGTGATTTCTTTACTGTTAGCCGTAAGATATATCCAGTCACAGAGATTTTATCATAGATAAAATGACTTATATGTTATCTTCTAGAATTTTTATAGTATCAGGTCTTAGATTTTTAAGTCTTGATCCATCTTGAGTTGACTTTTTATAAGGTGAGAGATAAGAATCCAGTTTCATTCTCCTATACGTGGCTTGCCAGTTATCCCAGCACCATTTGTTGAACAGGGTGCCATTTCCCCATTTTATGTTTTTGTTTGCTTTGTCAAAGATCAGTTGGCTGTAACTATTTGGGTTTATTTCCATTAATCAATGAGTGGATAAAGAAATTGTGATATATTTATATTTATATTATATATATATATATGTATGATATATATAATGGAATACGACTTGGCCATAGAAAGGAATGCATTAATGACATTCGCAGTAACCCAGAAGGGATTGGAGATTATTATTCTAAGTGAAGTAACTGAGGAATGGAAAAATCAAACATTTTATGTTCTCACTCATAAGTGGGACCTAAGCTATGAGGATGCAAAGGCATAAGAATGATACAATGGACTTTGGGGACTCAGGGGGAAAGGGTGGGAAGGGAGTGTAGGATAAAAGGCTACAAATTGGGTTTGGCGTATGCTGCTTGGGTGATGGGTGAACCAAAATCTCACAAATCATCAGTAAAGAACTTACTCATATAACCAAATACGACCCGTTCCCCCAAAACATATGGAAATAAAAAAATTTTTAAAAAGAAAAAAAGAAATGACTTAGAATAGATTAAATATGGTATGGATTCAAATGCAATTGATCTTTGCTAGAATTCTGTTGGGAAAAAGAACAACAATGGAGTTCATATTAGGATACATTATAAATGGAATTGTTTTGGTACAGTCAAGACTTTTCAATTCACAACTATTAGATATTCATACCTAAGATGTGAGGATCATACCATAAGGTAAGGCTTAAGGTAGGTCCTAATAGTACAGAGTGAAAATCAGGAGGCTATAACGTAATACCTGTGATTTATTTCTGGCTGTGGCAACTAACATATGGTCTTTAACCATAGCCTTACTCCTAACATGAAGAGTATCAGAGAGCAAATATTCCAGATGAAAAAAATAAAGCTAAGGGTTCTCTTTATATATACTTATATTTATATACACTCATGCTTGAGTAGACATAGAAATATCTGAGGTGGATACAGAGGTGAAAGATGAATAATTTGTTATCTCCAGGAATCCACACTCTAGTTAGAGAGAAAGCCATGCAAATGTATAAGCAGATAGCTACGTCACACTGTGACCTGAGCAACAATAAAATACAGGCTGTTCACAGAAATTGTGAGTACCCAAAAATACTGAACTTGGTTGGGAGGAGTCAGAAAATGTCTCAAGGAAGTTTTCACAACTCAGCAATGTTTTGCTGTATGGATAAAATAAATGACAATTTAGCAGTGGACTAGTTTGTTGGGAGCCAAAAGCCTGAGGGTCATGATCAACTCAGCATTCCACTGGAGGCTATATGATCAAACAGCAAACTGTTTATCATGAATGCAGAATGTGGGCAAACTCACATCTGTGCCTGCCGCCAGAAGGTATGCTGAGGGCAGTCACTCCCTGGCACCATGCTTCTTGAGGTTATCTACTGGAACATCTGGAGCCTACTGTTCATGGAAAGCAGTCACGCAAGACAGCACTAAATCAAACAACTGACCGACAATCACCCCCTTCTCCCTATCTCCTTTACTCAATAAATACGAAGGGCTCTAGAAGCTCAAGGCCCTTGTTCACTAGAAGCAAGGAGCTCCCTGACCCCTTCTTCCAAACATACTCTTTTGTTTTTGTCTTTATTCTCGCATTCGTCCTCCTTTGTTCAGTCCACCAGGGTCTGTGGCACCAGTTCATGAAATATGCAAATATGTAAAACAGGACATATGATACATTGATATTGATAATCATGTTTATGGACACTAAAATTTGTATATAAAAATGAAGAGGAATAAGTCTATTAAAAAAGCATTTGGATGTCAATTTTAGGAACTTGGATATGCACATATAAATAATTACAAATCACTAAGATTTACATGCTGGGGAATAATCCTATTGTAGGGCTGATATAACAGGTTATTTTATTTTGCTAGGCTTTGATTTGCACAACTCATGAAGTTTGGTGAGATTTGCATGTTTTACAGGACAATTTGATTACACGTTAATTATCCAAATTGTTGCAGTTAATATTGATTTTACTTGTAGGTTTTGAAAATTACATTTAAAAACATGAGCAGAATTATTTTATAACTTTTGAGGATGTAATTGTAACTTTCATTTGTTTAGTTTAGTTTACACATAATTTATGTATATATTTTGGAATAAGTGATATATTCACATGGTCCACTTTCTCTTTTATTATATCAGCCCTGCAAAAACTCCCCAGTATAGGCATTCAAGAGATATTTTGTGAAGATTTAAACAAATATACAAATACAAGTAGATTTATTTGTAAAGAGTTATTTTAGTGGTAGTGTGACAGGCATATATAAGAGGATAAATTTATAGGCATAAGGACCAATTTGGAGGCTATTGAACAGTGCAAGTGTTAAATTATAAAATGACCTAAAGAAATACCAGTGGTGATGAAGAAGATAATCAAGAATTTCAAGGAAGTTTGGGATTTGAAGAGATTTATGAGTTTGGATGGCTTGATGAAATTTATATGGTAAATCAGAACCAAAGAGGAGATGAACAGCAGATATTACTGGTATTATCATTACTATTATTATATTTGTTTACAGGATATGTGGGATGTTTGCAACAACATCAGATACCTTAATATATTGGTTGTAGCTAGACGTAATTTCTTATGATGACACTGAGAAACAAATTCCAAACGTTTGCAGTCCTGTCCTCTCTATACATGAAGATCGGATCTGCATCTAATATCCTTGGCAATAATTAACTAAGCAGATGAGAGACCTGAAGGAAGAATCTCCCTGCATCTCTTGTGTGGTTAGTGTAACAGAGAGAACAGTTAAGATTTGCAAAGACCAAGGGCATGGTAGATATATAAGAAATAATTGTTGAGTAAATAAAAAAGAAAACTCCTGCTATACTTTGTCATTTTACAAAAAAAAAAAAAATGGACATGTTGGAAATAATCTTGGAACATAAGGAGATGATATTTCAACTTTTAAGTTAACCTTCATAAAAATGTTGCTAAAGCTGTGATTGTTTCCTTCATATGAAACCCAAATTACATCAGAAAAGAGTCTTTAGTTTTAATGACTTGTTTTGAGTCTCCTGGGGATTAAGGCAACTAATGTTTTCTAGGTCATGATGCCACTGGGAGTGGTAGTAGAAATAAAAGTCTTAGCATCTCCCCCAGACAAGCTCTCCAGAGGCAGAGGGGGGGGGCTACCTTTTCCACCAACAGGTTTGTTCTCAGGTCTGAGAAAACGTGGATATTCTTTTACATGTAAAGTATCTAGAAGACACCTTCAATTATTTTCAGTTTTTCCTTGGGAAATTAATTTGGGGGGAATTTCAAATCACAGAAGATATTATGTATCTGGATATCTGGGGAACAGAAAGTACCCCTTTCCTGCAGAGCTTTGTCTCTGATAGCAGTGTCTTGAACAACTGTTTCCTGGGAATTGGAGAATAAAAGAGCCCAGAGAGTATTCAGGAATATATAACTCTTTGCTTCTGTAAATTTTTAGAAGAGCTGAGGAAGGGAGATAGGCATTTACATAAAATTGAATTTTTAAAGGAATAAAATGAACCTTCTGGAGAAACATAGTAAAGGCAACTTAATCTAAATATTTTAGAGCATGGAAAAAACAACATGGGGTCATGAAGGCAAAAAGAAAAAGAAAAGGAGGATATTACAAGGAAGAAGATTTTGGACACCACATTGCCCAAAGATAATACAATTGTTTAATCCTTGTAATAGTATAATTTGGGATACAAGAAACCATAATATTTAAATTGCACCTCAGTCTTAAATTGAATTCAGTAGAAGATACATTGCAATCTATCAGAATCAAGGAAGCAAGGCAGCATAGAGAATTATGCATTCCCTACCCTTCTCCTGATGGGAACATTTGGCAGTGTCTGGAAACATTTTTGATTTTCACATCTGGGTGAGGGCGTGGGGAAGTGAGACTTTCATCTAGTGGATGGAAGACAGAGATGCTGCCACACATGGTATAATGCACAGGGTAGCTTCCCAAAACAAAGAATAATCCAGCACAGTGTCAGTACTGCTGAAGTTTAGAAACCTTCAATGAGAATGAATTTTATAATAGTGAGAAATGGCTAGAAAGTACTGTCTTTTTACTGGTGCTTTAAATTCTTGCATAAATGAACATATAGCACTATGGAGAGTTCTCGCTGTTGCATGGGACCCTGTTGGTGCTGGAACATTTAGAACCTATTTGTTGGTTTACAGAATTGGAGATGACCTTACCATAAATGACAGTTCACATAAGTCTTAATTATAAAGGAATATGATTGAGAGATTTGGGTGTGAGTGGCTTACAGTACTAAAATGAGGAAAGTGTCAGGTAAACCAGGGTGTATTTCTTGCTATAAGATGCTGGGTTGTTTTGGATATAGAGTTGCAAGATTCAGCAGACAGAAATGCAAGACACTGAATTAAATTTCAAATTCAGATGAGCAAAAATAGTTTTTACTATGATTATGTTCCACACCATATTTAGGCCATAAACAATTTTTTTGTCTACCTGAGATTCAGATTTGACTGGGGTTCTAATTTTTTATGATAACCCCGCCCCTATGCCTAAATTTGAGAAACCCCACCATTCTCTCTGTATTAAAAACTCCTTTCTCATGAATGTCTTTAGAGTGGGGTGACACCTTAAGAATCTCATCTATATTATTGACAGGTAAGAGAAGGACAGAACGAGTGTCCTAGCTGATGATGTTAAGGGAAAGGAGAGGGGACCTAGAAAAAGAAAATGTCTTCGTCAATGTTTATAGGTTTTTATGATATTTATTCCTGAATGGGGACATTTTTCTAACTTCCATTCTCTATGTCTCATTTTGATAAATATTCAGAACACCTCTGCATCCATCAGCACTTTCACTGGGCTAATTTTTATAGTTTTATAATCTAAAGATTGTCTTAAATGTGGTCAAAAGAATTAGAAAAATGATATATGAAAATGTAATCTTTACAAAGTAAAATGTTGAAATTTCTATCTGTAATGTAGAGTAAAGCCTGGCATAGAGAGATGAGTCTATGACTGAGAGTCAAGGAAACTGGGTCCATTGCATCGAATTTGTACCTGTCTTGGTCAAGTCATGCCTTCTTCAAGCTTCTGTTTGTTTATCTGTAGAATAAAACCATTCAATAGATGTCTTTACTGAAAAACATAAATAATTACTGATTTTGATGTCTGGCCTATTTAGTTCAAAAGAATAATAACAATTAAAAGGCTGAACTAAAAATTAACCATAGATAGAAATGATAACTCTAAGACTACATTCACTATATCACAATATATGCCCTTATTATTATTATATAGAAAATAGTTGCAATTATAGAAATTATTTCAGACTCATTTTTTGTTAGAAATTGTTGGACTGATATAAATACTTATTTTACTTTACTGGATTTTTCTTTGCAGAACTGGTGAGGTTCAGTGAGATTCAGATGTTTTACATGAGAGTTTTATTATATGTTATCACCTGAATTGCTTGATTTCATAATGACAACTGTATGTTTTTAAAATTTTATTTAAGGACATGAACAGAATTAATTTTCTAATTTGGAGAAAGCAACATTTAATGGTAATTCTATTTTGAAACTGTAGTTATTCCTGTCTTGACACAGCACCTATCAGGATATTAACAGAGATCTATTTTGTCTCACCTTATATTCTACAGAGGGGATGGTTAAGCTGCTTTGTCAATCACTTTCAATATTTAATTTCTAAGACTGATTTTCGGATCACACGAAAGGAAAACATGTTTCTGACAGAGAGAAATACGACATCTGAGGCCACATTCACTCTCTTGGGCTTCTCAGATTACCTGGAACTGCAAATTCCCCTCTTCTTTGTATTTCTGGCAGTCTACGGCTTCAGTGTGGTAGGGAATCTTGGGATGATAGTGATCATCAAAATTAACCCAAAATTGCATACCCCCATGTATTTTTTCCTCAACCACCTCTCCTTTGTGGATTTCTGCTATTCCTCCATCATTGCTCCCATGATGCTGGTGAACCTGGTTGTAGAAGATAGAACCATTTCATTCTCAGGATGTTTGGTGCAATTCTTTTTCTTTTGCACCTTTGTAGTGACTGAATTAATTCTATTTGCGGTGATGGCCTATGACCACTTTGTGGCCATTTGCAATCCTCTGCTCTACACAGTTGCCATCTCCCAGAAACTCTGTGCCATGCTGGTGGTTGTATTGTATGCATGGGGAGTCGCATGTTCCCTGACACTCGCGTGCTCTGCTTTAAAGTTATCTTTTCATGGTTTCAACACAATCAATCATTTCTTCTGTGAGTTATCCTCCCTGATATCACTCTCTTACCCTGACTCTTATCTCAGCCAGTTGCTTCTTTTCACTGTTGCCACTTTTAATGAGATAAGCACACTACTCATCATTCTGACATCTTATGCATTCATCATTGTCACCACCTTGAAGATGCCTTCAGCCAGTGGGCACCGCAAAGTCTTCTCCACCTGTGCCTCCCACCTGACTGCCATCACCATCTTCCATGGCACCATCCTCTTCCTCTACTGTGTACCCAACTCCAAAAACTCCAGGCACACAGTCAAAGTGGCCTCTGTGTTTTACACCGTGGTGATCCCCTTGTTGAATCCCCTGATCTACAGTCTGAGAAATAAAGATGTTAAGGATGCAATCCGAAAAATAATCAATACAAAATATTTTCATATTAAACATAGGCATTGGTATCCATTTAATTTTGTTATTGAACAATAAATTTTTCCTGTTTTTTCAAATGGACTGTGCATCAAGAGTTCACTAAAAAAAATCACTTTAGATTTAAAAAAACCTTTTTTGCAATAGAATGGCTATGAGTTTTAGATCAGGGAAGCTATTCTTGGCTCAGCTTATATAAGCCAGACAAAACTAATTGACGTTGACTACAAAATAATAATTGTCTATAAAATATTTTGTCTACAAAATAATTGTCTTTGTCTACAAAATAATATAGTTTTATTTATTTATTTATTTTGAGATGGGGTCTCACTCTGTTGCCCAGGTTGGAGTTCAGTGGTGCGATCTCAGCTCACTGCAACTTCCACCTTCTGAGTTCAAGCAGTTCTGCCTGCCTCAGGCCCCTCAGTAGCTGAGATTACAGGTGCCCACCACCACGGCTGGCTAATTTTTTTTACTTTTTAGTAGAGACGGGGTTTTATCATGTTGGCCAGGCTGGTCTCGAACTCCTGACCTCAGGTGATCCGCCCGCCTCATCTTCCCAAAGTGCATGATTACAGGCGTGCACCACTGTGGCTGGCCATGTAATATGATTTAGTTCATAAGACATTGTGGAAAGCAAATGAAAATGTAAACAATATAGCTGGCATATTACATATGTGTAATAAAGGTTAATTATGTTATCCTTTCTTTCCTGGTGACTGATAGGTGTGTTAATTGAACAAGCAATTTGGTACTATAAATTTAGTGAAAAAAATGGTATTCAGAAAAAGATAGACCCATTTTCTAGGACTTCAAAATCCAGTAATGTTGGTAAATATCCTAAAAGGATTGGTGGAGAGAGTTACTTCAAATCCATTTGGAGATGCAGGAAAGATTGTTTCAGAATTGCATGCTATTTTAATTTGGCCTTGAAGGATGAATAGGTTTTTGAGAGAAACAAAAGAGCAAGACAGAAGTTTTAATCAGGAGTAAAGAGCATGGATAATGTTAAGGAGGTGATTATATATTATTAAGTTAATATTTCAATAAATGTTTTTGAGCTACAATTTTATGTCATATACATCCAAGGTATATTGTTAGGTACGCGAAGAAATGTACATTTGAATATAATGTTACTACTATTCTAATCTATTTCAAAACAGAATTCCAATGTAGAGAATGAAATAATTTTTATTTTATTTTATTTTTATTTATTTATTTTTAGACAGGGTCTCTCTCTGTTGTCCAGGCTGGAGAGCAGTGGCACGATCTTGGCTCACTGCAGCCTTAAACTCCTGGACTCAAGCAATCTGCAAACTCTTGGACTCAAACTCCTGGGCTGCGTCAAATTCCTGGGCTGGCTCCCAAAATGCTGGGATTACAGACATGAGCCACTGTGCCCTGCCAAGAATGAAAGGATTTATGCGAGGTTTAGAAATATTAATTTGCTTCTTGAATTATTGAGAATGAACACAGAGATGATATATTCACTTTCAATGATTATGCTTCTTTTCCATCACCTACCAGTTACCATCAGTATTTATAGAGCAGCTTGAACAAGGGCATGTTGCAATTCTCTTCATCAGGGCTCTTTAGGCAGCCTTCTTAAAACAATTGGGTGGAGCTGTTATAAGTATTGAGAGCTTATTGCCCACTTGGACTTGAATGTTGTTTTAAATTAACTGTCATTTTTAATTACAATCTAAACAAAGAAAGAAAGATCAAGACAATTGTGTATATTAATGAGGCTCAATAGCCCCCTGATAATTGTAATATTTATTTTAAGAGGTCCTCACACACACAATATCTAATTTAGAAATTTTATAATGCAATCTTTATCTTTTTTATCTTTTCTTTAATAATTTTTACTCGAATTACTTATAATTCAGTCTTCCTTTGTTCTATATGCTATGTATCTGAATGAAATTCCAAATTAAGCCTGAAAAACATTGAGATAATAAATTATGGCTATTTGGGGAAAGGTAAAATGAAAACCAGGCAACATGTTGTATTGGTTCAATGAAATAATTTGCAATAGTTACATGATTATAAACTTATCATGATGAACTGAAATCACTTTTATCACAGTTTATATGTGAATACGTAACGTTAGTCAACACTGTTTTATATATTCACAAGTGAACTGTCTTCCATTATACATTGTCACTTTCTTGATCTTTAACACCTGGAACAATGGTGGAAAAGTAGCAGAAAAGCTGTATTAATCTTGATCGAAATCAGTGAGGAATACTCCATTTCAAAAGAGTAAATTCTTGTGTTTCTTCCTTTACTTAGCAAAGGATAATTACATTTTTATAAAGTAAGAGACACAATCTTCTAAATTTTTATTCTGAAGAAATTATATATATTGTTTAAGTACTCAGATCAATGATTAAATTAGTCGGAGACATAAGACAATAATTTGGAGATTAAACCATAGAAGCATGAACACTTTTCATAAATACTGATCTCATATTCTTCTTCCTACAAATTTAAATTTCAAAGTATCTTTGGTAGCTCCTATTCCTGCTATGTAGAACATAATTTACTTTACCATACTTCAATTCTTTTATTCATGTGTCACTTAAAAGATTTAATTTTGAAAAACTACATAATGATTGAAAACTTAGTATACTTCAAAAATAATTCATTATAAATTTATTTATTTATTTATTTGATCTCTGGCTCTTCTTTTTTTATTATTATACTTTAAGTTTTAGGGTACATGTGCACAACGTGCAGGTTTGTTACATATATACATGTGCCATGTTGGTGTGCTGCACCTATTAACTCGTCATTTAGCATTAGGTATATCTCCTAATGTTATCCCTCCCCCACCCCCACCCCACAACAGGCCCCAGTGTGTGATGTTACCCATCCTGTGTCCATGTGTTCTCATTGTTCAATTCCCACCTATGAGTGAGACCATGTGGTGTTTGGTTTTTTGTCCTTGTGATAGTTTGCTGAGAATGATGGTTTCCAGCTTCAACCATGTCCCTACAAAGGACTTGAACTGATCATTTTTTATGGCTGCATAGTATTCCATGGTGTATATGTGCCACATTTTCTTAATCCAGTCTATCATTGTTGGACATTTGGGTTGGTTCCAAGTCTTTGCTATTGTGAATAGTGCTACAATAAACATATGTTTTCATGTGTCTTTATAGCAGCATGATTTATAATCCTTTGGGTATATACCCAGTAATGGGATGGCTGGGTCAAATGGTATTTCTAGTTCTAGATCCCTGAGGAATCACCACACCAACTTACACAATGGTTGAACTAGTTTACAGTCCCACCAACAGTGTAAAAGTGTTCCTATTTCTCCACATCTTCTCCACCACCTTTTGTTTCCTGACTTTTTAATGATCGCCATTCTAACTGGTGTGAGATGGTGTCTCATTGTGGTTTTGATTTGAATTTCTTAGATGGCCAGTGATGATGAGCATTTCTTCATGTGTTTTTTTGGCTCCATAAATGTCTTCTTTTGAGAAGTGTCTGTTCATATCCATTGCCCACTTTTTGATGGGGTTGTTTGTTTTTTTCTTGTCAATTTGTTTGAGTTCATTGTAGATTCTGGATATTAGCCCTTTGTCAGATGAGTAGGCTGCAAAAATTTTCTCCCATTCTGTAGGTTGCCTGTTCACTCTGATGGTGGTTTCTTTTGCTGTGCAGAAGCTCTTGAGTTTAATTAGATCCCATTTGTCAATTTTGGCTTTTGTTGCCATTGCTTTTGGTGTTTTAGACATGAAGTCCTTGCCCATGCCTATGTCCTGAATGGTATTGCCTAGGTTTTCTTCTAGGGTTTTTATGCTTTTAGGTCTAACATGTAAGCCTTTAATCCATCTTGAATTAATTTTTGTATAAGGTGTAAGGAAGGGTTCCAGTTTCAGCTTTCTACATGTAGCTAGCCAGTTTTCCCAGCACCATTTATTAAATAGGGAATCCTTTCCCCATTTCTTGTTTTTGTCAGGTTTGTCAAAGATCTGATAGTTGTAGATACGCAGCATTATTTCTGAGGGCTCTGTTCTGTTCCATTGGCCTATTATAAATTTAAATTGAAAAAGAAAAAGTATAATTTCCATTGCATGCCATAGTTACCCCATTTCTAACATGATTAATTTAAAATACATAGATTATCAAATTTCTTGTCATTTCTTTTGTCCTGGAACTCACATTTAAGTTCTATTTACTCTCCAGAATTGTGTCTCTTATGATTCACATGAGTTTATTACTTTGTAATTAATAAATATATGTAAATTAACCTTTTATTTCTTGTGGTAATAAAGTTTTATGTGATTTTTATCTACAACAAATAATCACTACAACAAATATTACCATAGTTCTACTAAACAACTTAAATGTGTTAGAAATATTTATAAAATACTCAAAGAGAAACTGTAAAATTATCTATGGAAATGCATCTCTTAACTATATTAATTGGGATGAATTTTTATTTTTATTTCAATTACTAAAATTATCCATGAATAAATATGTTTATTGGTAGAAGAGCACAGGTTTCAGCATTCTTTATTTTTTCAAGTTTTATTTTAGATTCAGGGAGTATGGGTGCAGATTTGTTACAAAGATATATTGGTTGATGCTGTGGTTTGAAGTATGATTGAAACTGTCACTCAGGTAGTGAGCATAGCACTCAATAGGTAATTTTTCAACCCTATGGCTGCATAGTGTTCCATGGTTTTTATGTACCGGGTTTTCTTTATCCAATCTACCACTGATGGGCATTTAGGTTGGTTCCATGTCTTTGCGATTGGGAATAGTGCTGCGATGAACGTATGGGTGCATGTGTCTTTTTGGTAGATAATCTATTTCCTTTGGGTATATACCCAGTAACAGCACTGCTGGAATGAATAGTAGTTCAACTCTCAGTTCTTTTAGAAATCTCTAAACTGCTGTCCATAGGGGCTGAACCAGTTTACATTCCCACCAGCAGTGTCTAAGCTTTCCTTTTTTTCTATAGCTCTGCCAATATCTGTTATTCTGACTGGTATGAGATCATAGCTCACTGTGGTTTTTATTTCATTTCTCTGATGATTAGTCATTATCAGCATTTTCTCATATGATCATTGGCTGCTTGTATGTATTATTTTGAGAAGTGTCTGTTTAAGTCTTTTGTCCACCTTTTAATTTGGTTGTCTTTTGAATGTTGATTTAAGTTCCTTATGAATTCTGGATATTTGACTTTTGTCAGATGCACAGTTTGTGAATATTTTCTCCCATTCTGTAGATTGTGTGTTTACTCTATTGATAGTTTCTCTTGTTGTGCAGAAGTTCTTTAGTTTAATTAGTCTTACTTGTCATTTTTTTGCTATTGTTCTAATTGCTTTTGGTGATTTAGCCATAAATTATTTGCAAAGGCTGATGTCTAGAAGTATATTTCCTAGGTTTTCTTCTAGGATTTTTATAGTTTAAGGTCTTAAATTTAAGTCCTTAATATATATTGAGTTAATTTTTGTAAATGGTGACAGTTAGTGGTCCAGTTTCATTCTACTGCATATGGCTAGCCAGTTATTTCAGCATTATTTAATGAACTGGGAGTTCTTATACCAATGTTTTTTGTGTTGACTTTGTCAAAGATCAGATGGCTGTAGGTGTGTGGCTTTACTTCTGGGTTCTCTCTTCTGTTCTTTTATTCTGCGTGTCTGTTTTTGCAGCAGTACCATATTGCTTTGGTTACTATAGCCTTTTGGCATAGTTTGAATTTGGGGTAATGTTATGACTCTGGATTTTTAGTTTTGCTTATGAGTTTTAGAACAGTTTTTTTTTCTAATTTTGTAGAAGAAAAATGATGTTAGTAGTTTAATAGGAATTGTGTTGAATCTGTAAATTGCTTTGGGCAGTGTGGCCATTTTGACGTTATTGATTCTTCCAATCGATAAGCATAGAATGTTTTCCCATTTGTTGTGTCATTTCTAATCTCTTTCAGCAGTGTTTTGTAGTTCTCCCTGTAGAGATTTTCAACTCCTTTGTCAGACGTATTCCTAGGTACTTCGTTGCCTAGTATTGCATTCTTGATTTGGCTCTCAGCTTGAATGTTGCTGGTGCATGTAACCACTACTAATTTTTCTACATTGATTTTGTATCCTGAAACTTTACTGAAGTAGTTTATCAAGTTTTATCAAAAAGCCTTTGACAGAGTCTTTAGGGCTTTCTAGGTATAGAATCCTATTGTTAACCAGGAGAGATAATTTGACTTTTTCATTTCCTATATAAATGTCTTTTATTTATTTCTCCTACCTGACTGCTATGGCTTGGACTTCCACTACTATGCTGTATAGGAATGGTGAGGGTGAACATCCTTTTCTAATTCGAGTTCTCAAGGGTAATGCTTCTAGGTTTTGCCCATCCAGTATGATGTTGGCTGTGAATTTTTCACAGATGACTCTTATTATTTTGAGGTATGCTCCTTTGATGCCTAGCGTATTGAGGGTTTTCACTATGAAGAGAGATTGAATTTTTTAAAAAATGTTTTTCTTGTCCATTGAGATTATGATATTTAGTCACATTAAAATGAAGATCAGAAAGGAATTGTGTTGTTGTTGTTGTCTTTGTTTCTTTTTCTTGAGATGGAGACTTGCACTGTCACCCAGGCTGGAGTGCAATGGCATGATCTCGGCTCACTGCAACCTCCGCCTCCCAAGTTCATGCAATTCTCCTGCCTCAGCCTCCCGAGTAGCTGGGATTACAGGTGCACACCACCACACCCGGCTAATTTTGTGTATTTTTAGTAGAAACAGGGTTTCACTATGTTGGCCAGACTGGTCTCAAACACCTGACCTGCTGATCTGCCCTCCTTGGCCTCCCAAAGTGATGAGATTACAGGTGTGAGCCACCGCACCCAGCCCATTTGATGTTTTTTAAATATCACTCACATATGTCAAAATTCTCATGAATCCTTATCATCAATTATTTAAATAATTGACTACATATAATTATGTCACTTTTATTTGTTGGTGAAAGCAAACTTGGTAATCTCCTTATATCCAAGTGGAATTGATATTCAGTCAATAGAGATTCACTTACTCAGTTTCTGAGAAATTTATTTGCTAGGGTTTGGGGAAGAACCTTTCTGAGTTACATGAGCAAGAGGAAGACTTAAAACTTAGATAAATTAGACATCCAGAATCTCTGACAAATCAGCCTCTTACTGAAATATAAGGTTACATTAGAGGAATTTGTAGTGTGTGGTGCATTAATATAACCATAGTATCAACAGAACCTAAGCCCAGCTTAACTCTACACATTTAATGTTGTTTACTCAGCATCTATTGTTCTACAAATAATATCAATCCTTAACAAAAAATATGTGGGAGAACATATATGTAGGGGAGAACAACTCACTGTAAGAAAACAAATAAACAGAACCAGATTCAGATATAGCCTAGACGGTAGAAATATTATACAGGCAATATACAATAACTATGATTGCTAGGGGCTCTATTGGAAAAGACAGACAACATGCATAAATAGTGAATTTCAGCAAAGTCGTGGAAAATATAAAACTGAATCAGTAAAACAACTAGAAATTACAGTAAGAAAGTAATAGTTATAAAGAATTATTTAAGGGGCACAAGAGTAGTCTCAACATAGCTGAGTAATACATTAGTGAAATTAAAGATCAATCAGTATAAAATGCCTGAAACTAGACACAGAGAAAAAAACACATCTAAAATCTGTGTAACAATATCAAATAATAAAAACAACTGTAATTAGAAACTCTGAGGTTTTTTTTTTAAGATAAAGGTAAGGCAAAGAGAGTATGTGTAAATATAACGACTAATAATTTTCTCAAGTTAACAAAAGACACCAAGCCATAGATTCAAGATCTTAGAACTAAGCCAAATTCACACACACACACACACACACACACACATCACACTCAGGGAGAAGAAAACAGGAAAAGAGAAAATATTGAAAGGAAGGGCCATTACACATCAAGTGGGGCTTTGCAACATCAGCATTATTAACATTTTTTTACTGGAAAGTCGTTGATGTTGGGCACTATCCTGAGAGCAGTAGGATAGCTACCTGCATCCTGACCTCTATGCACTAGATGTCAGGAGTATCTCTTTCCAGCTGTGACATCAAAATATCTCTACCTTTGCCAAATGAATCTTTTTGGTGGTGGAGACACAAATTGACTTCCACTTTAGAACAACAGATTTAAAGGAATAAATCTGTTGTAATGTTGTAAGCATTACATTCCAATGTTGTAAGCATTACAACAGATTTCCTGGCAGTAACTACAAAAGTTATTATAGAAAAAAAGGATGAGAAACTGAAAATGTTGATGGGAAAACAGCAAAACTGTCAACCCAGGATCATATACACAGTGGAAATCTCTTTCTAAAATTAATTAAAAAAATTAGTCTAACAAAAACTGACATAATTCATTGACAGCAGCTATGTGCCACCAGGAATGTTAAAATAACATATCCAAGGAGAAGCAAAATGATATCAGATAGAAACTCAAAGCTATGCAAATAAATACAGAGCATGGGAAATTATGTCAATGATCTAAATTCAAAAGTGATTTTAAATTGCTCTGAAATATATCAGTCTTAAGAAAAGACACCAATTAAACAGCATTTATAGACTCTGTAAAAGTAAAGTCTACAACAATAGCATCATGAATAAGGAGGACTTAGATGTTTATTCTTTTAGGGTATGTAGAAGATCAATAATTTATTAGTAAATATATTGTAAATTGCTGTAAAAGTATCACAATTTTAAAAGACTTAAAATAAGAAGTCAATAGAGCATACAAAATAAATGGAATCATAAAAAAATAATCCAACTCAAAAAAATAAAAAGTGAATGGAAGAAACAAGAAATACTTGAAGCAAGTAAAGATGAAGTATCAAGATGGTAAACTTAATTCCGCAGAATCAGTAGTAACATTAATTCTACCCATATGTACATTAACCAAAAGTACTCTAGACACAAAAATCACAAGATAAAGTTTGCCAGATTGAACAGAAAAGCAAACAAAACTCTGTGATATCAAAAAATATGTTTTCTATTATAAAATCCTAATAAGTTAAATATAAAAGGCTCACAAAATTTTATGCAGTAATAATTGAAAGAGCTCTGGAGAGGCTATATTAATACAAAACAAAATAGACTTTAAAAGAAAAGCTATCAGTCACTAATAGCACCTTAATTTTTCTGTAGGGATCCAACCTCTCCTGTTCTTGATGGGTCTCTGTCTTTGCATCCAGTGTATTTTGGGAAGCATTCATGGCCAGTCATCAAGAGACCTGCTGATTTGTTTCTGGATAGGTACTAGTGAGCCAGTGCCTCAGCTGTGGGATTTTGTTAGAATTATTGGAAAAGAAGAGCTTCTTTCTACTGAGGCTAATCCTCTGGGCAGGTAGAAACTGCACAAAACATCTCATAGCTCTCTTTACTAAAAAAAGAGAATCTGCTTGAGAGTTTAGTCATCAAAAAGAAAAGGATAGCAGAGAGCTGGAGAATGGGAAATTTTTTGAACACTTGGATCCTCTCTCAACTAATCTATGTCCAGATTTTTGTCATGTAAACAATAAATTCCCACTTTTGCTTAAGCCACTTAAAAAATTTAATCTGCCACATGCAACCAAAGATGAAAAATGCACCTTCTTATAAATATTCTTTTTTTATAAATATTCTCTTCATTAATTGCATAATGTTCTAGTTCCTTGTAGTGAATTTCAAGATAATTTAGCCATATATGTGTGTATGTATGTATAGATGGGTACATATATATATACACATATATAGGTGTGTGTATATAACAATATAGCTATAGATATATACATACACAATTTTAAATTAACACATATATATATATATACACACACACATAGTTTTAAATTAACTTGTTTTATATGTCTTTCAGCTATACTTATCTTTCTCCACTAGAAAACACATTCTCAATCTCATTTTCAATTCTCCAATCACGCCATGGACTTTCCAATTTCCACTTAAGTGTTTGTGTTGTTTTCCCTTCTATTTCTCATCCACTATTTTTCACTTGATGTAATTCTTAATGCCCAGTTCAAGTTATTCTCCTTTTCTCTGTTTTGTACCTGGTACCTAGAACAATCCCTGGAAGAAAATACTCATAGAGTGAATTTATTTGTTCGATGAAGGCCTTTTGATGTTTTCTGACCTTGTGTGGCCAGCATTTCATTTGAATGCAGATGCAACTCTATCATAGTACATATCGGAGTTATTAAACTCATTTATAATTGTTTTTCTCAATCACTAGATACATTTTTGCTTCTTTTCAATTTATTGTACCATTGATTTGCATAGAATATTATAGCAGTTGTTTGATAAGTTGCTTTGAGCTGGCTAAATCAAATTAGATAATAAATATAATCAAATTTTTCATATAGTAACCTACCATTTCAAAAGCCAAAGTATGTCTCTTTGCAGCATTCTCGTGATGTAGAAAAACATCTTACATCATTTCATTTTGTGTTTAATCAATTCCCCAGTAGAAATGTTTAATTGCTCACATATCTTTTCCCATTAGAGATTTGAATATCAGAGTTTGAGTTCTTGGGATCTGATGTGAGATCAAAAGCTGATCTCGAAAGCCTCAGAGCAAAATATAAAAAGCCTTGTTTCTCCTAAGGAACCACAGTCTTTTTAAGAAAGGCACAAATGTCTTCTATGAACACAGAATGTTTGCCCCAAATGGATTATACCAAATGTTACAATGGATCATTTTTTTGTAATATTTCAGTGTCAAATTTAATTTTTCTAGTGGAAAATGAACTGGAGCTCAAAAACAGTGAAGTCAGAAGGTGAACGGGGAATAAAAAGTTAGTTACCTGGTAAGTATTTCTAACATAATCCTAGGGATATTAGAGCAGAAGAGATTTTGTGTTTACCTCCTTATAGTTTCTTATTTTACACATAGGAAACTGATGTTTTGAGAGTAAATATGTCTAGAATAACACAGGTTTTAAATCTTCAAGGTGTTTTCAACAAAAATGAGAGCAACAACCAAAAGCACATTTAGCACACAATATTCATAATACAACCATCAACATTATTGGACTTTGATTAGGAATCGAATGTAAGCACAGTTTTCGTTACATATTATTTATTTTTAAAATTTAAATACAGATTAAGGCTGACTCAATTTTATATAATGTTATTTATTATATATTATGGCAATGCATTGGTACCAAGTCATCAGTGCACTAGTAACAGGCCTGAGGTGGGAAAAGGGAATTAGTTAAGAAATAAAAAGTTAAAAATATCATAAATTAATATAGATTACCTACATAACAGTATGACATTTTGCTGAGCTATTTCAGAAACTTCCATTCCCACCTGCCTATTCCATAGAAGAACACCTGGTTTGTCTCATTTTTTGAATCTTCTTAATCTTTGGATCCCTGTGATCATTTTTTGCTTCCATTGTTCCATTTAGCATTAATATTTAATTTTGAATTCCTTAAGTTTCTTTCAGTCTTGAAGTATATAATGTTTTTGAAAAATTATTATAAGTTGTACTCTTTATATAAATTTATTTCTTTGTTGAATTTAATTCTGTAAATTTAATTCTGTGATCAGAAATAAGAGTTTGGAATAGAAAAACATTTTCATCAAAGAGGGCTTTTCTCCGATGGTCTAGATTCCCAGTTTATTTAAGCATTATCCCTAAAAATAAGTCTGTTTATTTGATGCCTGTTTTTGTCGTTGTTGTTGTTTTGTTTTTTTTTTTGAAGGCAGAGGTTGTTTTTGTTTTTGTTTTTTGTTTTGTTTTGAGATGAAGTCTTGTTCTGTTGCCCAGGCTGGAATGTAGTGAAGCCTACTTTTTAACTGTGAGTCTTCAGAAGTACCAAAATGGAGGATCGCACAACACAGAAGCACATTGATTGAACATTCATTCACTAGCCACAGGATACAATTGTATCTTTCCTTTGCCTTCCCAGCAGTGGCCATTGCTCTGCTCCTTGGTCAATTCAGAGTCTCTTCTCTCTCGTGTGTAGACAGGAATAGATGAGCTTCCTCTCCATCAGAGTTGATATTTTCTCAGGTGGAAACCACATGTATTTCAGTAAAGGAGAAATCCAAAGAGTTGACTGGTAGCTCAATGATGCTTTCTTTCTCCAATTAAGTCCCCTTTTTAAAGCGTAAGAGGGAATCCTGATTGATCAAAAAATAATAAATATTAATTTTTAGTGAAGAATAAACTTGTCCCAAAGTTGGAATAATTGTAGTTAATATTTTATTGAATATTTGCTATGTGAAAAGCACTCTTTAAAATACCTTCCTATTTTAGGTATTTAATCATCATTTAATATTAGCTCATTTAATCATCAACATAACCCTGTAGGCAAGTGCTACTATAATATGCAATTTACATATCAGAAAATGAAGACCAGAGGATTATTGAAAATTTACCTAAAGTCACACAATTTAAATGGTAGAGCCAGGATTTAAACCCAGGCCATCTGGCTCCAGGGACCTTGCTTTTATTCACCACATCATACTGCCTCTGTTTCTATGTTAAAAGATGTAAACCTTTCTGTTGTAGCATATACATCAAACACATTTTAACTAATGCTTAAACAAATAGCCCTATATTAAATTTAGCACATAGATCTTTTTTTAGGAGATGACATCATACACTTAATCTTCTTTTTCAGCTCTGCCATCTCTCCCTCATTTGCATCTCTGGGAGGCAAGATTTATTAGAGAGTGCACTAGCCCAGTGATACAGGAATTCTAATCCTTAGCCCTGGGTCTTTCAGTGTAAAGCTTTGTAAACCCGGATTCATTAATTGTCTTGCAATTATCAATTCCTTTTTTATGAAATGGAGAAACAATGAATCCTTAACATATTTTAAAGATCTTTGAGAGTTAAATTATAATTAAAAGAACTTTGAGAATTACAAGTTCAAATTGTTAATGCCAGGTGTACCACACATACCCAGACCTCATCTAATTTAGCTGGCTGGAAACAGAAGGTAGAAAAATAAACATGGAGTAATAATCCAGAATCCGAGGTTATTATATTTACATTTCATTATCTGTACCCAGAGAATAACTTCTCAAATAGTAATTTTCTGCTTATTAACTCTAAATATACATAAAATTTTAATATGTATATTTAGTTATATCAAAAACTTGCCACAAACAGGGCAGGAAAAAACAGGAGATTTAAGATTTTAGTACTCTTGTTATATCGGGTTCTGGGATGGATAATATGAAATAAAATAGAGAATATATGTCAAATCTGGCATTTTTACATGCAAGCTTGTAGGAAACAGATAATCATTTAAGGGTTTAAGCAAGAAGGCAGCATGACCAAAATATATTTTGTACAGATAACTGTATAGTGGCATTCATATAGATTTTGTAGCATGTTTGGAAGTAGGTTGGGGAGAGACTAGAGGAATGAGGCCAATTAAGGGGTTCAAATGGGGGAAAAGGAGTGATGTTAAATAATGGAATGTCAGTCATAATAAAGCAGAGATATTAAACAGTTTCCACATTTTCCAAAGTGAATCAATAGACCTTGGTTGTGTTTTAGCCAGAGGGAAGTTTTTTCTTTGGACCAGGAATATAGGTGGTAAACATGTATACAAAGATGTATTACAGATTAGGCTTAAGTTGTAGGAGGTGATATCAATTAAGTGTTATTTTAGACATGCTAAAATGTACCTATTTTGTAGCCAACTTTGAGATGGACAGGTGATTTTGGATTGGATATATGAAAAACGATCACTGTATAAATTGTATTTTTAAGAAAATGCATAGAATTAACTACAGAGAGTATGCATGGTGGGGAGGAAAGTCCTAAGAAATTGTTACTCACGTGAAGGAGGCTTAATAGGGGCATATTGAGATTAGGAAAGAAATCAAGATACGTGTATAGAAGCCACAAGAGGTGGACATTTTAAGAAGAAAGGAAAGATGAAGAAGAAAGGGGAGGAGAAAATTTTAAGAAGAAAGGAGAGGTCTATCACATGATATGGAGAAATAAAGTGTGTTACACATTGAAAAATCTTTGGGTCTGAAAGCTAGAATGTTCTTCCTGAGTATGATAAGTGAATTAAATAAAATTGTGCAACATGCTCATTTTATATTTGTATGAATCTTAATTTTAAATTGTATATCTTTATCTATATTTATATATACATATATAATTGTGCTTTAATATTTCATATTACACACAACTGTCTCCCTAATAGCTATTTCAAACATTCAATATTCTAAGGCCTCATTCTACCACTTTCTTCTCATTGCTAGAAAATAGTTTATATTTTACAGAGAAAAATAAAGAATAGGAAATAAGCACACACTCAACTTACTTACAAAGTTATGGTATAAACATGTGAATTCATCAGTTACTCCCTTTCTTCTTCTCATCTGTAGGGAGAGTGTGCCCCTCCTCTCTGAGGTTAATCTCTTCAACTGTGTTTTGTCGATTAAAGTACCTATACTATTACTAAAAGTCATAAACGTTTAGCATATCATGATATTTATGTCAAATGTATCTGTAAAAATATTACCTCAAATCTACTCCCTTTTAGTTTCCCTTATTCATTGCAATGTTTCTCTATAGGCATCTACACTGGTTTACACATTCTCACTTCAGCCTACAAAAATAGGACTTTTGTCTCAAAAAACTTAAACCCCTTTTTATCATAATCAGAAAGAACATTAATTATACTGATATAACTGGTAATAAAGAGAATTCCAAAAACCATAGTATCAGCTGGAGGGAAATCAGTTGTCTCTTCACTGGACAAAATCTGCATGTGTGTGCACAAGTGTTTGCACTGCTGTCACTTACCTATTAATAAAATTCAGAGTTGCAAACTAGAGCAAGGACAGTCAAAGCTGAGATAACTCAGAGGGTTACATAGGTAAGCATATTTAAGTTTTAATACTTTTTCACTACAAAGAGCCTGGAAATATTCCTTGCTATCATTCATGGACATGCCAGGATGAATATGGTGTATTTGGAAACATAAAGATTTATGCAGTTTTATTCCTTCCATAGTTTGGATTCCAGATTCTCACACACACACACACACACACACACAAATTTCTGGATTGATCCAGAATTGCTATCTTGCTACTTTATAAAAGTGAATGAACAAGATGGTGAGGATATTGAGGCTATGGAAGGAAATTCATGTGACATTTATGATTGATGAGAAAGATACTATCATTGTCATAGTTGATGAAACTGAAACTAAGTGAGTAATTTGTCCAAGGTTTCACAGCTACTGAATAACAGAGCTACTGAGTAACAAGGCTGGACTCAGTCACTGAAATAAAAAATTCAGAAACTTTGCTCTTTTGATCACTGGTCATCAAACAACCCTAAGGATTTCCTTTGCTCCTCAGAGAGGATGCCACATCTCCACGTGAGAAATATAGAGCTTCTGTTCCTCCATTCACAAGGCTTCACCTGGAACAGCAACAAGTTGGTGGTAGAAACAAACAAAGATAATGGAGACAGGCACAGAGGCCATTTATTTAGGGTTTGCCATGACAAGATGGTTAGCCACTTTTTCTAAACATTAGTGGTAGATGAAAGAGTTGAAGAAATTAAGAGTGAAGGCTAAGTTTAGAGTTTAGCAACTGGCTTGATAATGGTGCAATTTAATGTGGAAAACAATAGTATTAAGGAATAGAGGAGGTAACTTATTGGTTTAATTAAAAAATAATTAAAAACTGATGCATTACACTACATTACCTATAGACATGCCTAGTTGTATCAGGATGCCTAAGTGGTTTTAGAATCACTGTTTTATTGATTTTGACCTTTCTGTTTTCTTTATCTTTTTCAATGTTGCCAGTGTCCAGGTTATCATTAACATTTGTTTTGTCATTTTGTGACAGCTCCAGAAATCCAGAAGCACTGCAGATAATGGAGCTGGAGAATGGCACTGTGAAGACTGGGTTCTTTCTCCTGGGATTCAGCGACCATCTGGAACTTCAGAGTCTCCTTTTTGCAGAATTTTTTTCCATCTACTCTGTTACTCTGATGGGGAACCTTGGAATGATTTTATTAATCACAATCAGTTCCCACTTGCACACTCCTATGTACTTTTTCCTCTGTGTGTTGTCCTTCATAGATGCATGCTACTCTTCTGTCATTGCTCCCAAATTACTTGTGAACTTGGTTTCTGAAAAGAAGACCATTTCTTACAATGGCTGTGTTGCACAGTTATATTTCTTCTGCTCTTTAGTTGACACAGAATCTTTCCTCTTGGCTGCCATGGCTTAAGACCGGTACATAGCAATCTGTAACCCGCTGCTCTATACAGTGATTATGTCCAAGAAGGTTTGTTGCCAGCTTGCAATTGGAGCATTTTTGGGGGGCACTATGAGCTCAATTATTCATACCACGAACACTTTCCATCTGTCATTCTGCTCCAGAGATATTAACCATTTCTTTTGTGATATCTCCCCACTCTTCTCTCTGTCCTGCACTGACACATACATGCATGACATCATTCTGGTGGTCTTTGCCAGTTTTGTGGAAGCAATCTGTCTTCTATCAGTTCTCCTTTCTTATGTCTTCATTATGGCAGCTATTCTTAGAACAGGTTCTGTGGAGGGAAGAAGAAGAGGGTTCTCCACTTGTGCTTCCCACCTGACTGTGGTCACTATGTATCATGGTACCTTGATCTTCATTTATTTGCGTCCCAGCACTGGCCATTCACTGGATATTGACAAAGTGACCTCTGTGTTCTATACTTTGATTATACCTATGTTGAACCCTCTAATTTACAGTCTAAGGAACAAAGATGTCAAAAATGCTTTTAGAAAAGTGATTGGCCGAAAATTACTTCCTTAAGGTGAAACTGGGCCTGACATCATTTCAACAATACCTGCTCTTTGACTTGGTTCTAACTGTTGGAAAAGTCAGTTTAATATGAATGTTCTCCATATCTATGGGTAACGAATCTTCACCCACAGAATAGGGTGAAAGCCTGACCTTAGAGTATGGCTCTCTCATATCATTTATATTACGTCTATTATTTTAAAGTTGAAATTTTTAATATTTACTTCAGGGGAAGATTTACCTTACATTTAATTTCCTGTATCTCATATTTTTACTTTCTTTCTCTTTTCACCACAAACTTTTGAGACAGCCATGTGGGAACAGCTCCCGGCCAAAAATCTAATCGGCCTAGGTACTGGGACAACTGCGCATTGAGCTGGAGCCACAGAAGTTCAAAGTGTTTGCGGTGGGGAGGAGCCTGGCCCCTCCTCTTCCTGGGTGGAATCTGGAATTCAATCTGTGAAGTGGGAAGCCTACATTAGAATGAACTCTAGCCTTGCATAGAGTCCCTGTTACCCCCTCTTTCTCTTTTTGCACAATAAATCCCATTATGAGCACCCTTCAAATAATCTGCAAGCCTAGTTTTTCATGGCCGTGTCATAAGGACCCAGCTCTTAGCTGAACTAAGGAAAAAGTCCCGCAACATTCTTGGTGCACAATATAGGGGCTTGATAAGCAATGAGTGAAATGGGGACTCAAAACCTCTCACTGTCCTTTCTAAGGCTTTTCATCCTTGGACTTCTGAAAGAGGGGAAACTGTGCCCCCACCCGCATGGCTCCTGGGAGTCAGGAAATTTGGCCTCGGCTCCAGGCTCCAGGTCCTTTTCCTTTCTTTTTCTGGACGACCTGCAACAGTGGCTCCCCACTTTCCTCGCTACTCTCTCCTCCCTGCCAGGGACTGGGATGCATGGGCCAAGGGCCCTGCACTGCTGTTTCCCCCAGGCACTGGGGTTCAACTCCATTGGACAGCAATTAAGCATAAGCTTCTCTCCCTGGTGGAGGAACATCTTGCAAGAGAATAAGAGTTTTTTTCCTCAGGCATTTTTGAACTGTCTTTTCTTCCCTCTTCTCCTCCCATCAGCAGTTAACTTTGAAAGTTTTTTTTTTTTTTCTTTTAGAAGATGTTTTGCTAGGCTAGGAATGATAATGATCCCTGTGTATATTCTCTATAAGTTTTGGTTGTGAAAAGGATCTTGTGGGGACTGGATTTTCTTCTGCCTGTCTATGTTTGTGTTGTGTTGTGATGTCTGTAAAAAGAGCTCTAATTAATTTGGCCTAAAGGAAGACACGGGCTTGGATCAAATATTTTTTAAAGGGAAGATAAAAGCTGTGGTACCTTTCAGTTCATGTGACTTTAATCTTTGAGAAATAAAAACAGCCTTAAAGATTATTGGTAAAGTGCAGGTGGCATTAAAATATAAATAGGTGGGCTAAATTATGCTGGTCAGATGCAAGCTTTGATAAGTGTTTTGAGGTTATAAACTGCTTTTTGCATTTTGAGAACTATTTAACTTGCCAGCTTCACATTGGTAAGGCCTGGGGACAGATGGAACTAACTCAGCCCTTAATAATGCTGGGAATCAAAACTTGGCTGCCCTTAGCACACAATTAAAACAACTTACCAGGTTTTACATTAAATTTAAAAATTGCTAGGAGTTACCATTATAACATGTCACTGAGACTATTGGAAATAAATTTACATACAAGGTATGTAAGAACGGTAAAATGTATTTTTTAGTAAAAGGTTATAAAAAGCATGGAAATGTAAATTTTTGTCTAGGGTTAAAGGATTGCTTTAAATTGGATAAGGTAAAGCTGAAGTTTCAAATAAGTGGTGGAAAGATTATGGAAATTAACCTCGCAGAAGAGGGTCTCTGTGTGAACATATTAACCTAAATTCAAAAGGGTATTACATGGTTTTTCTGTAAATTGAGCATTGAAATAAAAGCACAACAAGGTATTCTTAAGGCAACAAGGTATTCTTAAGGTTCTCTGTGTGAACATACTAACTAAATTCAAAAGGCTACTACATGGTTTTTATGTAAATTGAGCATTGAAATAAAAGCACAACAAGGTATTCCTAAGGCACTAACGTACTCTTAAGGAAAATTTGTAAAGGTGTATAAAAGGTTTTTGCTTCTTTAAAATTTCTGAGTCATCATTTTGGCAAAATAAATAACGTATGGTAATCTGGAATTCTATTTCATAACATAAAGTGTTTTAAACCTCAAATATATAACAGCCTTCCCAAAATCAAACTTCAGTTTCAAAATTGTCTTTCCTGACACCTGGTTTTTCAGATACTTCAGAGGTCCCCTGGAGTGTCCAGAAAAGGGAGGTAAACAGGGTTATTTGACATGTTTAGGTACATGGGATTGTCAAAATGATGTTCAGTCTCCTTTAGGTTTTATTTTTGTGAACAATGCTAATATATGTTCCAAAATTGTAGGAGATTTCTAAAATTCTAATGTTTGAGTATATGCTGTCAATCATAATTAAGGTTGTTAAGTTATTGTAAATGAGATATATCACCAAACTTCTTTGTCAATCATGTTTCTAACTGTAACTACCCTGGACATTTTGCTATTCACAGACTACTGTTGTCTTATTTTAATCCTTTTCAAAAGATGGTTTATAATAAGCTATAGAACTCTGACAAGTTCTCATGCTCTCAAATATAAGTTTCTGATGACTTTGGAGATTGTGATATTGGAGTAATAGAACATGTACAGGATTCATGAAGAGCTGAAATGTTCATGAACATCAGGCAAAACAAGAGTTAACTAAATGGACTGAACTCAGAAAATTGAAACAATCTTTTAACCTTGCTTAGAACATTGCTGATTATGTTTTGTTTTTCAGAGTCAAGGAAACTTATTTTGAACTATTTATGACTTTTAATAATTGAGTAAGGTATATATATCCTGTGATCAAGATTTGGAGCATGTTTGTTTCTCTCTGCCTGGTTCCTCTAGAATTTGGAAACTATCTCTGAGTATTCTTAACTTATGGCAATATAGTTGCATCAGTGCAATAATAACCCAATATTTTTTAGAAAGCGGACACAATTGGAGAAAGTGGTTATTTTACCAAGGCTTTGACTGGAAGGGTATGCTTCCCTTTAAAGAGTCAATCTCGACTTACAGAGCTGGTAAAAGCCCCATTTTAGACTGGCCCCATAAACCCATCTACACAGTCCCTGTACAGAGTCCATGACCTGTGGTCAGTAGAGAATGTCACTTTCTAACAAGCCTAGGAGCTACAAGTTTTTCTTGGGACTTTAAGAGACGAGGATCACCCAACTCACAAGTATTTGAGGATAGAAACTCATGGCTGAGCTCTACTTTAAAAGGTCTTATCCGAGATTCCTTGTGGAACAGAGTTCCATCAGAGCCAATCCAAAAGGCCTATGTAGAAACAATTATTCTTGCTGTACTTTGTGCAAATTATCAGGCCAAGAACAAGACTAAAGTCTATTTTGCAAACAACTCAGTACTACCATAATTTGTTTTTTTAACAAAAAGGATGACTGGATAGAGAGAGAAACTATGTTCCAAACTTATCATACATTTGTCTTTAAATTCTAAACTTATTAGTTGTTCATTAAGAAGATTCAACCATGAAGACCCAGAAACAGTGTCAACCTGTGACTGAGCTTCATCAGAATGACAGAGAATGCTTCTCCATCCTCATCGCCACCCCCAACTAGGCAAAAAATTGTTGAGTAACAGGTCAAAGCAGTGCCTTCTGGGGGACTGCGCGGAATTTGGAGTGAAACTTAAAGTTGAAGATACAGCAGATGCTGAGAAAAGCTGCTGAACCAGTCCCATCCGAAACACAGAGTAATGCTAGATGAGCAGGAAACCTATGGTGCACTGGAATTAACTCTAAGAAGAACAAGTCTCAAAACCAAATCAACTCCTGACTAGATGGATTCAACCTTCTCCCTCAAAACACACACATACAGCCTAGTAAAAGGGAACACATGCGGGTTTTGCTTTCTATATGTCTACTCTACATAGTTCACTTTTTGAGTAAAACTTACCAGACATATATAGAAACAGAAAAGATACATAAAGAAAACACTGTTAAGAGAAAAAGCAGTTAATAAAGCCAGATTCAAATGTGGCAGAGGTGTTGGAATTATCTTTCAAGTAGATCTCATGGGTACCGTTCTAGATGCCCTTAGTAGGGTATAAAGCCTCTTTATTTTTTTTATTATACTTATGTGACAAGATCTTCCTTTTATCCTCTTATGTAAAAGGTATTTCCAATCCATATTCAACTCTGTATTGGCAATCACATTTTTTGACACTTTACATATATTAGTCCACTGTCTTATACTTACATTTATGATTATGGAGCAGTCTGTTGTCATTCTATTAAGTGTTCCCTCAAAATGAAACAGTTTATTTTGGCTGCTTTTAAGAGATTCTTCATCTTTGGTGGTGGTTTCAAGCTTAAACACATCATAATGAATCAGCCAACAAAGACAGAGAAATACTAAAAATCAGCCAAAATATATTGTTTTACACATTCAAAACAAAGTAAATTTATGTTTTATACATCCCAAATGGGGATTGTTTGGCTTCCTGAATTCAATTCATTTGCTTACTCTGAAAAAATTATCAAACATTCTACCCTTGAATATATACTCTCCTCATCTTCTCTACTTAGCTCTACTGTGTGCTACAGCCAATCACACATTATGCTGTTTATAAAGGACATACAGGATACTCTCATCCTCCTTATGTCACTATCACTCTCCTAGTTTACCTCTATTTGTCCATCTGTGAAGCCTTCATGACATATCTTTATATCTATTATCCAATTCACACTTTCTGCAGCTTCATTTCACTTGCTACACAAAGTTTTCACTAAACAGCAAATTTTACTTATTTCACTAATATAAATTAGAATTTATATGGTAAAAGAATTTCTTAAATGACTGCCAAATGTGAAAAAATTCATGTATATATTATATATATTTACATATGTATGTGTTATATAGACATACACAAAATTGCTATTGGTAATGGCCATTTTCACAGGAGTCTATAACTACTGAAGATTTTATTTTTCCTAAAAGATATAATATTTCCTTAAAGATATTCTGTTTCTTAATTTATAATAAAGATAATTCTTATGCTTTTATCAACAATATAAATTAATAGGCTGGGTGCAGTGGCTCACGTCTGTAATTTCGGCTCTGTGAGAAAATGAGGCAAAAGAGTCACTTGAGCCTAGCAGTTTAAGGCTGCTGTGAGCTGTGATTGCACCACTGCACTTTTATAATATATAAAATATATTATATATATAAATTGACAGTAATACATTAAAACCTGAAATCAAGCTTTGAAAGCAACAGCAAAGTGCATTTCCAGTCTATTTCAGTGACTATTAGAATTAAAGCCAACTTCAGGCAAAACATTTCCAAAAACATAAGAAAAAAAAAAAAAAAAAAGAAAAAGGAGAAAAACTATTCCAGACTTTTGAAGACATTTATTAAAATCATAAATTGATGGTATCTTCTTTCTCATCTTTTGATGAGTAAAATATTAAAGGACTCCAAAAATTATCTACAAATTTGGCACTTGAGGGTTCATTTGTTGTAAACTCAGTGGTTCTTGATAAGAGGGAGTTCAAAGTTTGTTTATGGAGATTAGCCAAGGTGTTGAATCAATCATTTCCTCTCTTCTGGTGAAACCTAATCAAGAACCCTAATGGCTATCCTAAACTCCAAGAAATGTACAACCTGTTGGAAATGGCTGTGATTTTTCAGAGATTCAATATAAAGAGGTACAAGTAGCCAAGTTCATTCTTTTCTGGGACACACAGAGTGGCTTTGGAACTGGCTGTGAAGATGTCTGAAAGCTACTACCACTATATGGTGGGGCCCTGATCCCTGATCAGACTTTATAGTGTTACTTCTACAGCAAGTTTCAGTGAGACCATAAGTATATTTCTAGGGTGAGAACACAACTAACAGAGGAGGAGTTCCTGCTACTTTTCCAATCCAAAACAGACTGCCCTATGTTTAATTTTTCAACAAACTGAGCTTCTTTCTATAAGTGATGTCATTTGCTTACTTAGTAAAAATGTTTTTACTCTTATTTTGTCATCCTGTCTTCCTACATACTTGTGAAACACAGTGAAGATTAATTTTACTTGTATCATTTATGTATTCCTTAGTTGTTCCTATGTATTCTAAGAACACAGAAAATAGTTTTCAGATATCTTGCAATTTCATACTTGTTGTATATCCTAAATTTTATTGAGAATATTTTATTTTATATGTTGTACACAAATGTAATACCCTCTGTTCTAAAGTTGGCACATAAATATATGCACAAGACAGAATATTCTATAATATACAACTTAGGTAATGTGTTGAATAATTTGAGGATAATATTGTTTTAGAGTATAGTAAATGCCTCTTCAGCATTTCTGGGTAAAATCTGATCAAATCTCACAATATTCAGTAAATAAATGATGGTTATTTAGAAATCATTTTGCAGTGGTGGATTGTGATTGAGATTTTTTGAAATACTTTAAAGGAGAAAATTATGACATCTAAATGAAACAATAAGAGCAAAATTGCAGTTAAATACCATTTCCTAAACCAATCACTTTTTTTCTTTTGTACTGAATCAATCTTTTCTAATCCAATCACAATGAGCATTAAGAATGGTTTTCAGAGTATTCAGGACCCATCATCTAATGGTATAAATTGGTCCTAATTTCATACGCTTAAACCTGAAGTTTTTTGGAGTAAAGTCAAAACTCAACAAAACTGAGGTTTCTTTTCTTTTCTTTTCTTTTCTTTTCTTTTCTTTCTTTTTTCTTTCTTCCTTTTTTCTCTCTCTTTCTCTCTCTCTCTTTCTTTCTTTCTTCTTGCTTTATTGTCCAGGCTGAAGAGCAGTGGCTCAATCTCAGCTGACTGCAACTTCAAGGTTCAAGCAATTCTCCTGCCCAGTCTCCTGTTTCTGGGATTACAGGTATGTGCCACCACTCCTGGCTGATTTTTGTGTTTTTAGTAGAGACAGGGTTTCCCCATATTGGCCAGGCTGGTCTCCAACCTGATCTACCAGCCTTGGCATCCCAAAGTGCTGGGATTACAGGTGTGAATCATCACACCTGGCCTCTCTGAGGTTCATTTTTCTATGCAAAAGAAAATGGTAGGATGAGGATGTAGTGCCCTGTGAGTTGTGCACGAATCCAACAATTTTACCTACAGATCCAAGAGCTCTCTTTGTGTCTCAGGTTCTATTTTTGTCTTAGACAAAATAAAGCCTGTTCTACTCTAGACAGAAGTTTATCACTGAGTCACAACCTGAGTCAAATTTTGCTTTGGTCTTTGTTTATCCAAGGCAAAAGATGAAGTTTTAATCATACCTTTCCTAATTTCCTTCCTTCAGGAAAATGGTCTCAGACATCACACAAGCCTTCCAGAAAGAACCCATCTGCCTCTTCTGTCTGAACTAACTCGTAGACCCCATCACCACAGGCTGTGGACCCAGCTTCTGTAGGCCCTGTCTCTGCCTTTCCTGGGAAGAAGCCAAAATTCCTACCTGCTGCCCACATGCGGGGAACTGTCACAGCAGGAGGACGTCAAAACCAATATTCTTCTGTAGAATCCAGTGTGCATTGCCAGAAAAGCCAGTCTCTGGCAATTCCTGAGCTCTAATGAATAAATGTGTGGGATCCACAGGGAGAAAAAAAGATATTTGGAGCGGTGGATAAGAGCCTGCTTCATTTGCTGTTCTGGAACACTCAGGAGCAAGGGGCTCCCAGACACTGTGAGGGGCAACTAAGGAAATCTGGGTTAAGTGATGATTCTGAGAGCACTTTGAAAGCTGGAGGATGGCACAGGTAAAGAGATTAGGGGGAAGATGAAGAGCATGAGGATTATTCTGTTCTGTACTGGATGTCATGTAGTGCCTAGGTATCAATGATAGAAATTTAAATGGAATCTGTGAGAATACCTTCCTTCCTGGAACTTGCCTTTCACTGAGGGAGTGATGAAGTTAATAATCATTAAAATAATTTGACTATTTCGTTTAATGTTCAAGGCACTGTAAAGAGCTCAATATCAGAAAGAGTTTCTGGCTATCTAAACTACAAGTTCAAAAGCCTTCTATATAAGGAAATTATTTACCAACACTGGAAATAATAGAATAAAATATGCTAGAATTAGCAAGGCACGGTGTCAGTAGATTCCAATTCTGATGCAAGATGCCACATTATCTGCAAATTAGCCCTGCTTATGATTTTCCAATTAAACTGGTTGCGTTCCATGTTGTGGTTCTACAGTCTGAGATCTTCCCAAATCTCTTTTATATCTCATCCCTTGATTTCCTTATCAATGGGGGTCTGACACCCAAAGCGATTTGTTTCTCTGATGTTCAAATTCATAGTTCTTTTATAGGAGACGATAATGAAGCAAGTGAGATCTTTTTGGGCAAAAATTCAAGAAAACCAAGAAAGTTAAATGAGGAGAGCAGGAAAACCAACCAGTGGATTGTAAGTATTAGGCCTTTTCCCTCAGATTCAGCCTCAGACAGACATGCTACAAATGTATCCACTTACCACTTGAGTGGAAACCATCTTGGTTAGGCTGTGAGGAAGGTTTTTCTCATGGCTTCCAATCCTGAGGGTACAATGCAGCATTGATTACTGCTCAGAGAGAGTGGTCAGGCTATGGAGTAGGGAGGTTTGGTACTAAAGACTAATTGAAAAACTTAATACTGCAAAAAATTATCTGTGAACCACCATAAATTCCAATGACTCTCATGTAGGTTGTCCAATATCAAAGGGTGTATATTGAAGAAATGATGAATAATAACCTTTCTTCGAGTGTTTTAGGAAGTCATATAATGAACAAAAGAAGTTTAAGAAAAGAATAAATTTGGCTTCAAGTATTGTTAAGAAACAATAAAAATAAATGAAAGAAAGGGAGGAATGATTGATTTCATGGTTCTGAGAAGTGGGAAGACATGAGTTTATGTACATAGCTTATTGGTAGGATACATCAGTCAGTCTAGGCTCAGTGGCTGAAGTTCGTAATCCCTACGATTTGGGACTGCTACATCAGGAAAGGGTTTTAAAGACGAATTTCCCTTGAATGATTATTTGTTTTTAAATCCTGTGATGAAATATTTGCTATTAGAAAGCTCAATTGTATTTTCCTCTTTAAAAGAGTGAGTCAGAGCAGCGGCACATGCCCCAGTGTGTGAGCTCAGAGCTCAGTGCTCAACCCATCACTGGACTAATGGACAGATTTCATGACCTCCAGGTGAGTGTCAACCTGCTGAAGTGATGAACACACAGTGTCCTTCAGGCATGGCTTTCTTTCTTTTTCTTTCTTTCTTTCTTTCTTTCTTTCTTTCTTTCTTTCTTTCTTTCTTTCTTTCCTTCCTTCTTTCTCTCTCTCTCTCTCCCCCCACCCTCTCTCCTCCCTCTCTCTCTCTCTCTCTCTTTCTCCCTCCCTCCCTCTCTCTCTATTTCACCAAAGCTGGAAGGCAATGGTGCAATCTCGGCTCACTGCAACCTCCACCTCCCAGGTTCAAGCGATTCTCCTGTCTCAGCCATCCGAGTAGCTTTAATAACAGGCACCCACCATCATGCACAGATAATTTTTTTTTTTTTGTATTTTGTAGAGCTGGGGTTACGCCATGTTGTCCAGGCTGGTATTGAACTCCTGACCTCAGGTGATCTGCCCGTCGTGACCTCTCAAAGTGCTGGGATTACAGGCATGAGCCACCACTCTTGGCCTCAGGCATGGTTTTACTACAGGCAATTTTTTGTTATTTATTAATCTTTCATCTAATAAAAGGGAACAGACTGTAAATAGCATTTATAAACATACTTAGTAATACAGTTCTTATGATCATATGGAAAAAATAAATGAAAGCTGACGTAATGGTAAACGTCATTCAGTTTCCTCTTGAGTCTGGGCCTTTTGGGTCTGGGTCCCTCTGTGCAGCCAAGGCAGGTCAGATGGAGAGAGATGGTCCACACCTGGCCAAATGGGTTCTACATGAGCCTTCTGGGTCAACACTGCCTTTCAATAAAGACCTAGGCTGTGATGACTCCAGCCGTGTTCTCCACCACAGTGGGCGGAGTGCTCATAGTGAGTCCTTGGGCCATGGGAGACCCCATTATATACATTGAAAAACATGCCATCAAAGCATTTCCCATCTGACACTGCCCGGGGCCCATAACAGGCTACAGCAGCATCATAACCTTTGCCAGCACGAAGCCCGGTGTCCTTTCAGTTTATCCGTGTGTATGAGTAAACACACTTACACTCACCTGTGCATACCCTCACACCATAGTGTACACTGTCCACAGTGGCACCGCCTGCTACTGAGGGCCGTGACTTTTATCAAGTCTTATTTCAAGCTGGCTCAGCATGAGGAAATTGTGTATGCAACACTGACTTTCAGCTGAGTCACTCAAAAATTAGTAAAATCATTTCAGGTAGTGTGTGTTTTTCTTTTTCCTGCTTTCAAAAACAACCTCCAGAGGAGTTTTTTTAGCCGCTTATTTAAAATGTTAATGAAGGAACCTGTGAGTGCAGGGGCACAGAAACGAGCAGCTGATTTAAGTCATTCCAACGCATAAGCAAGTTCCAAATGCACTGAGAGGTGAGGAGGCGAAGATGCAAAGGGTGCCTTGGGAAGAACTGCTTTTGCGGTAAGCCCTTGGCGCCTCCCAGCATGCCCGCTGCGATGGCATTCAACCCACTGCAGTCGTCGTCATCAAGGTGACTTTGTTGTTTTAGAAGGATCTGTTGTGCTCAGGGTTCCACCTGTCCTTCACTAGACCATGGCCCTCCAGGCAGTTCTAGGCAGGCCCCAGCGAAAAAGTACTGGGGTAGAAACCAAGGACCAGGCCCACAGAAACAAGGATCCCAGGGGCTTCCAAGGGGGAGTGCTGACTGCCAGGTGCAGAATTCATAGAATTACCCACCATGGGAGCCAGAGGGACCTGCACAAATCCCTGGGGAGTGTGTTAGAATTTCCCCAAATACTATAAAAGAGAAAAGTGCTCATATTTTATCACGTGAAAGACTAATGATGTCTAGGAGATGACACAGAACAGGAGGACTCTGACCACCGCAGGATCAGCGAGATGTGTCAGGACAGAAATGAGCAAGCTTGAGTCTCCAGGCACACCTGGGGAAAGAGTAATGCAAGGCACACATCAGGGCTGTGACTCACTCCTCAAAGCAGGCTTGGTTCCCCAGGGTAAGAGTGAAGAGACAGCCTCCCCACATCATGTAGTGTGGACGGCAGGGCTGCAGGGGATGTAGTCCTCTTGCCGGTGGGCTGCCAGAGACCTGGCAGCCAGACCCACTTCTTAGTGACGGCACATTCATTTCCTCTCTGGGATGCATTTCATCATATTCACTTTGTACCCACGATTCTTCCTGACAGCCTGAAACAGCAGACTTTGCATCCTTTTCAGGCCTGGGATCTGGCCTTACCCCAGGGGCTTCTGTTTCACCCACAACAGACTCGCCTCCACACCGGAGACCTGGTCACTGCTGACAGCAGGGAGAGAAGAAGGCAGAGGGGTCCAGCACGGCCCTCCTGCATTCATAAATCCTATTTTCCAATGAACATCACGAACTCCCTGTCTCCTGCTCCCAGGAGAAGCCTCAGGTCTCAGGAGTGGTCAATGCTGAGATGACAAAGCGATTGAAATTCTGATCTCCATAGTCTTGAGGCCTCTAGTGTTGCCAGGAGATGTCAGGAGGAGCTCCAGAAGAAAGAGGCACAGGATGTTTCACACTGCTTTTCCCAAGTGCAGCCAAGGGACAGCCTCTGCACACCAAGGTAATTCTAGATGATTGGCTCCACGCTCTTCCCTCCTCCTTTCTAGTGACTTTAGTGCTGGCTGACTGTAGAACACTTTATTCACAGAAGCAAGCAGAAAAAATTGTCACTCTTAATTCACATGCTCCAACGTCAGACCAGGAGTGCCCGGTTCTGGAGGGAAGTGCCAGGACTGGCTCATTTGTGTTCTCATCAGCCGCCTCCATGCACATGGAGGTGGATTTCACTGGTGTTGATACATGCTTTCACATCCACAAGAGGCTCTCCAAGGGACAGAAGTGACTTCACACCCACCGCAAACTATTTCTGCTGCCAGAGTCCCCAATCTCCAATCAACAAAAAAATTCTCCACCAAGGGGCGAGCTCCACCCATCTCACTTGTAATCAGTAGCATCGACATTGTCTGAGAAATATTTAGCCTGTCCAATTTAAGCTTAATGTTCACAAACACTAAAAAGTAGTAAAATAGACTTTAGCTTTTCCTTTAACTATATTTATATATAAATCCCTGAGAAGGTAGCTGTCAACTTGAAATTCACTATGTACAGTTAATTAATATCAGGGTGCAGGGAGGGACCCTAAGCCCCATCCCTGTGCACAGCAGGGGCTGGGCTGTCATTGCAAGAGAGCAAACCTGGTCTCCCTTCTGAGCAAAGAGAAGGGGGTGGGAGGGGCACGGCAGTGTAGGAATTCTTAGCCATCAGCACAGATGCTGGCAGGCCTGCTGTTCACTCACTCTGGGGGCCTGGAGGTCCCACCATGATAACACCACATTGCCTCACAGAGGCCCCTGCTTTTCTGTCCTTGGTAGACCTCAGGGTAGGTGGTGCCAGGGATGATAAAGAACTTCACCAACTGGGAGAAGAAAACAGGCAAAGGAAGGAAAGGTGAATGAGGAAGAAGAGATGAGGCAACAGGGGTGGGAGAACGTGGTGATAAAGCCAGTGGGGACAGTGTGGTGGCAACTGACAGGAGAGGAGAAGGGGGTCCATGCTCATCAGACCTTCCTTCCTGAACAACATGAGGGGTGCAGGGAGGGCGAGCCCTCAGTGAGTGAATGCAGCAGTTCAAAGAAACAAAAATAGACAGAAATAATCAATGTTCTCCTAGGACACCAGGTTTTTAGAGAGGCCACTGTGAGACCTCTGAATGCCTAATGCCCAATAGTGCTGAGTGGGTAAGTGACAAGAAGCCTGCACCCCCCCCCCCCACAGGCCTGTGCACCTCCTGAGACCGAGGAGCCTGTGTCACCAGTACCTAGGGCTAGAAGAAAGGGCTTCCAAATGGCTCAGGAAGATGAGTGGGCATTTCACTCCACCTCTGGGACCAGATGACCACACCTCCCCTGAGAAATCCCTTACCCAAAATAATTGAACAAAATAATGTTGCTTAAATATAAACTGGCTCATCTGATCACCCCGACACTGACCCCAGGACACCCCCCTCAAGGTGGCTCCAGTTCCCCATCATCTAGACTTTTCTCCCTGCCCTCCCACACTCCCTGAGCCTGGCTGGAGGCCTGCTTGTCCCCTCTGCTGCCCACTCCAAAGAGAATAAGAAACCAAGAGCATGGGCTCGCCATAGGTCAAGGAAAGAGGCTTGGTGACACTTCCTTTGACTTGGAGAATTCCTCTACTAGCAAATCTGCTTCCACATGGCAAAAATGAGAAGTGCTGGGCCAGTAGCCAGGCACACAGCTGCAGAAGCTACCTGGACCTGCCTCATGGGCCAAAGGGAACGGCTGCCCATAGGCAAGCCATGTCTAGAGTGAGTCCAGAGAGACCAGGGAGAGTCTGGGATCCAATCAGGGATGACCCTTCTTTCAGTTGGGTCTGGTGGGTTTTCAAAATCCAGTCTTTCCATTGGGGCCATACCAAAGCTCCGGGGGAGGTCAGGCTTCCCAGTCCCACCAGGACCCCCCCGTGAAGTTGTCCTTTTCTCTCAAGTTGCATACACTGGCCAGGTAAAGGCAGCTTCTACTCACCAGGCAAGTGGCCAGCTCACCTTCGGATTTGCCAAAGAAATCTGGGTCCTGCCCCATACTTGTTGGCTTGGCAGGCTTTTCAAAATGCAGGTATCTCTGGAGCTGTTTTGTGGACACCAGGAGCATTACTTGACAAGCTCTGTGCTGGCCCCAGGGTACCCTGTGCACCTGGGTAAGGCTGGAACACATTGGGAACAGGGATCCAACATGTCCACTCTGGAACAGCGTGGGACCTGGGGAAATTGCCAGTTTTTTGCTGTCCTACCAATGCTATTCTACACATCCCTGGAGACTATGAGCATCGGTTACAGTGTGGTGGTGGCTGGTCAGGACCAGAAATGTCCATTTTTGACCTGGAAGCAGCAGACACCCAAGGCTTAGGGTAGAAGTGGGGGCTCCATACCATTCCCAGTGTCAACTTCCCATGGCAGCAGAAACAGGAAGGAATGTCTGGCAACCCACCAAGGGTCAGATGCCACATCAGCCCGAGCGAAGGTGCCAGACACTAGCTGTTCCAATGACAATTAGACATTCTTGGGAAGGTGGAGCCATTTGTGAGAGCTCAGGATGGGTGTCCTGGAAGTGCCACTTCAAGGCGACTGAGGCCTCTCAAAATCCCTGTGTTAGAGCTGCAGCTCTCCATGTGGGCTGCAGTGCAGTCACCTATGGAGCTTTAGGACAGGCCCAGGGCTCAGCTCCCCGGACCAGTGCCTTCAGAACTTTCGCAGCAGGGATAGCCGGCTTGGAAAGGCATGCCTGGGAGACCATGTGACACTGCCTGGCTGGGTCCTGGGCTGACAGAGGTGAGCGTGGAGCTCGCAGTGACTTGGTAATGCTGTGAATTATGTACGTGTGGCAGGAAGGTGCCACAATGCCAAGGCCCCACGTCTTGGAAATTCCTTGAGGTCCGCATGAGTTTGAACTAAACACCAAGTGCAGTCCTGAAAGGAAAAATAAAAGAAATACCCACATAAGGGACTCTTTGGAACTGAGTCTGGAAGAGAGGGCTGTCTGGTCCACTGCAGGAGAATTTGCCTAAAATAAGTTTGCTTCCCATTGCATTCTCTTTGCTTGTTCTAAACATCACCTCCCCCCTATTTTAATTTGCATCATTCTGGGCTCCTTACTCTTGTTGCATCCTTTTTTTACATTTGAAGGATGTCTGGATTCGATTTACTTAAGAGCATATATGGCTTAATTCTGTATTTCTGGTAATCATCTATTACATTTCCCCCATTTTATCAAATGACACTTTTCCCTCATATCTACTTTTACTATGTAAAAGATTTTCTATACAGTTTATCTAAAACTCCTTGATTAAACAGAGTTTAATTCTAGCAATACATACATGCTTATCTCTGCATTGTTTTATAATTTGATGAGAAATGTTTTTCCCCAATATATGACTGTATGGATAATACTTTTTAAAAAGATACAATAAAATATGATATCTCTTTCTCACTTGATCATGTGGCTGAATGAGTCAATCCCTCCATCAAACAGAAATATCCGGCATCACTTAATCTAATTAATAAAAACATCCAGTGTGCATGTGCACCCACAATGAGAAGAAAAGACCAAAACAAACAGCCAAAAAGGAGAGAATCCCATGATTTCTGTGTAAACTCCTACAGATATCATAAATATTTATTGCTAGAAACAGTATTTTAAATAAAAGGTCTTCAGGAAGGTGTATTAAAACTGCCTTGGATACAAGGGGCCCTATCACTTGTAAAACTTGGCAAATTGGATAACAATTAAAAATACAAAATCACACAGAAAATACTCTTTAATAAATTGAGGTTTTTTTTATTGAGACGGAGTTTGGCTCTTGTTGCCCAGGCCGGAGTGCAATGGCGCAATCTTGGCTCCCTGCCACCTCTGCCTCCTGGGTTCCAGCGATTCTCCTGCCTCAGCCTCCCGAGTAGCTGGGATTACAGGCATGTGCCACCATGCTCGGCTAATTTTGTATTTTTAGTAGAGACAGGGTTTCTCCATGTTGGTCAGGCTACTCTCAGACTCCCAACCTCAGGTGATCCGCCCGCCTCGGCCTTCCAAAGTGCTGGGATTACAGGCGTGAGCCACCGCGCCCGGCCTAATAAATTGATCTTTAAAAACATCTTAATTGAGGTTCTCTAAAGGGAGCCTTTTAGGCAACATGCCCGCTAGGTGTACTGATTGCTAGGGTGGCTGGTGTCAGGCGAATCGATGTGGCTCCCCCAGCTCCTTCCTGGGAGCATTCTAGAAAGACAGCGTGGAAACGCGCGCGGCCTGGTGGTCCCGGGAGCGGCCATGGTGCTCAGCCCCGCGGCCTCACCCTGCCCTCGAACCCCGTGTCAAGCACCCGCGGATTCTCACGTCCTCTTCTTCCAGGGCGGCGGGCGCTTCTCCTGCACCTTGGCCTGGCGCTTCTTCTCGGCCTCCTCAGCCTCCGGTTTCTCCTCCGTGGCCACCTTGTAAGGCTAGTTGGGTATTCGCAGGTGGCCACTGTCCTTGGTGCTGCCCTTCCGCGCCGGCCTCTGGGTCTGGAAGGTGGGCGCGGGCGCCTTGCTGAGGCGGATCCGGGGCACCACCACGTCAGGCCGCAAGCTGCTCCGCAGCAGGCGCTGCAGGGGCAGGAGGCTGGCCTTCCGCGGGGCGGGGTCGACAGAGCCCCAGGACCCCGGCAGCGGGGCAGGTGGGAGGCCGGCTCTTGGGGAGCCCTGCCGGGAGCCCGCGGCTTCTGGGCAGGGCCGCTTGTGCTGCTCTGCGCCCTCCGCTTCGTCCGCCTCCTGCGCCTGCCTCCCCACCCCCCGCCGCGTCGCCAGAATTTCCTCAGCCGCCAGGATTTCCTGCTCCGCCAGCCGCCTCTTCCCCACGCACAGGGAGCTCTGGGGGCACACGGTCTGGCACGCGAGGGCCACGGCGGGGCTGTTAGAGGCTGGTGATCATCCTGACCATGTGGTCCAGGGCGCCCCGGTCCTCCGGGCCACGCACGGAACGCCGCGTCAGCACGGACAGCTCGCAGTCCCTGACCCTCTGCAGGCAGTTCTTCGAGCCCTTGGGCTTCCGCGCCCTCTCGTGGAGCGGAGGCAGCTCAAGCTGGTACTTTTTCCCCAACCGCTGCTGGCAGGGGCGCTCCAGGAGCCTCTGCATGAGGCGGACGTGTAAGTGGCCACTCCTCTGGCGACATCCCACGGCGGGGGCCCTCGCGTGGACACCCGCCCCTGCTAGCTCAGGGCTCGGATGCGATCGGTTCCACCCTGCATGGAGGCTTTCAACCCGAACGCGTGCATCCTTCAAGGTCAAGACCCAGGACATAGTTCAACAAGTAGTTGGTGATGATAGAGTGCCCTGACTGGGCCAGAACAGCCTCTTTAGTAAAACAGCGCAGGAAAGTTATGAAACAGATGCTCAGCTCCTTTCTTCATTTTCACTTTAATTCCGTGATGCCTCTGTGTCCGTCTGACGACAACTCTCCTGGGGTCTGGGACTCTGCTGGTCTTCAATGCCTACTGAGAAGGGTTCCTGGCCATCATCAGGCATGAAAACCTCAAGGACCTCCGTCCTCAACGTGGGATCCCTGGGCCAGCGGCATCAGCCTCACCAGGAAACCTGTTCTTCTGCTTATTCTTGGGCCCCACCCCAGGCCTATTCAAAGAAAGACTCCAGGGGCAGGGCTTGGCAGCCTGTGTTTCCACCAGATCTGTGTTAAAGCTCAAATGAACCATGCCAGGTGATGCTGATGCAGGAAGCACAAAGGTGAGAGCCAGTGTCTAAGGCAACTGTGCCCATGGGGCCAAGGGCAGCTCCTGCCTGTGCAGCTATGATTAGGGTTGCGTTCCCCTCCCTGTCCTGCCAGTTGACTTCAATGTGGGGGCACTCAGCTAAGGCCACCAGGGTATATCCACAAAGTCGTGATAGCAGGCGACATCAAGGTCGGTCTAGCCATTGTGGTCAGTCTCCTGCGCCTTCTCAACGCTCACCCCCCGGCGCACCAACGTCTGCAGCAGCCCCACGCCTCCAGGACGCCCTCCTCCAGGACGTTCTCCACGCCCTCGACGCCGTGCTCCTCCTCCTCCTGGAAAGGGTAGAAAGAGTCGTCCCAGGTGATGCTGCGGGTGTTGGGCAGACTGGAGAAGTCCTGGAACTCTTTGTAGTCAGCGCGGTCCTCCTCGACCTGTGTGCCTAGGAGTGGGGACTGCGGTGGCGGGGTCATGCAGCGCGCCCCCCACCCTGCGGCTGGGTCCCAGCCAGCAGTACCATGCCGGCGGCCGGAGGGGTGGGCGGGGGGCCGAGGATCTGTCCGGGAAAGTCTGGTGCGCGCCAAGTTCCCTGCTTCTTGCTTCTGTGTCCCCAGGGAAGCCCTAGCTCCCGCCACCAGCCCGGTGGAAACCTCCCTTCTTTTACATTATTTTGTTTTTATTTTAATTTTTTAGGACATTGATAAAATCACTTTCTGATTTTTGAAATTCAAAATTAAATAATTTTCAAGTTTACCCTTTTTAAAATGTTTCACTATTTTAATGCTTTTATTTTTTGTATATTTTAATTATTGTAATTTACATCTTCAATTATTATGGAAGATTTTAGAAAAGTCTTTTCACATAATAAAGTCTAATTAATTAACTATTATTCTCTCCTCTATCTCAAATACGTACTTTAACCTTTCAGAACACTTTATGTTTTGAGACTCTTGTTACTTATGTGACATTTTAAATATTATTCTTCACTCTTCTAGTGAATTTTTAATGTCATTCAAAGGGTACATCTTTCTATAGTGAGAATTAAACAGTTCTCAAAAATGTTCTCAAGTATTAGGAATTTCACCTTCCAATGGTATGTTAAGTATGTTCTCCTTCCCTTCTAATGCATATTCCCCATTCCCCGCCCCCTGCTAATTTTGTATTTTATGTAAAGACAAAGTTTTACCATGTTGAACAGGCCAGTCTTGAACTCTTGACCTCAAGTGATCCACCTGCCTAGGCCTCCCAAAATGCTGGGATTACAAAAACAGCAACTAAATGCTGGAATGGTGACTGGGAAATTGTCTAGAGTCTCCATTGATTATCCTCCTCATAACAAGGCAGAAAGCCTTCCTCAGAATTATCTGGACTGACATTACTCATTGTCCAGACCTGTTAAGAGACTCCTGCAACCAGAGCTGTGAGTCTCAAATGTGCTCTTCAATAATGCAGTAGAAGGCCTGAGTTTCCACATAGTAGTATCCTTGAATGCCTGGAGAATTTTAAGGCATAAGAACGTACTGATCCTATGAACTATATGTTTTGTAAAATCTCAGGTTATGTGAGGTGTTTGGACAAATTAAGTTTCAGGGTGATATCCACTATTGAGACAGAAAATTAGTCTAAAGAATTAAGACCTCAAAATCCAGAATGAGAAAAAATTGTTTTGCTTAGAGCCTCCTTATAATTGTCTTACTTGTTTTATAGATTTATATCTATAAATCTATAAGCACTAGAGGACAAGCTCTACCTGATATAGCTGGCCTAGACATATGCAGATTTATTAATTGTAGAAGAAAGAATTATACCTTTCAGGTAAAATAGCTACAAAAAATAATTAGTTGCTGTTTTTGAGACAAGTTCTCACTCTGCAGTCACCCAGGCTGCAGTGCAATGGCACAATCAGAACTCACTGCAGTTTTATACTCCTGGACTCAAGCAATCCTCCCGACTCAGCCTCCTGAGAAGCTGGGACAACAGGTGCACACCACCACTCAAGGCTAATTTTCTGTTTATTTTTTGGTAGAGATAAGGTCTTACTATATTGCCCAGGCTGATCTCAAACTCCTGGCCTCCATTGATTTTTCTGCCTTGGCCTGCCAAAGCACTGGGATTATAAGTATGGCCACTGTAACCAGCTTTAGATCAATTTTATTTCATACAGATAGCTTCCCAACTAAAAATATTTTATGAGAATTCTCTTAATTCAGCAAAGCAATGTTATTACTGACCCAGTCTTCACTTATTTTCAGCTTACATGCAGGAACAAAATTACCTTTATTTTTTAATTTGTTTTATTTTATATTTTCAAGGTGCACAATATGTCGCTTTGAGATACATGTGCATAAGGAAATGATTACTATAATGAAGAAAATTAACAAATGGATCATATCACTTAGCTCTGCTTCTTTTTGATGATAAGAACACCAAAAATCTAGTCCCTCAGAATATTTCCCAAAAACAATATAAGATTATCTAATATACCTACAGGTTGTACATCAGATTCATTTATTCTACATTACTGCACCTTTACAACTTTTGCCCTTCGTTTACCTATTTTCTTCCCACCAATATAACCACCTTTTTGAATGTATTAAACTTATAAAAATAGATTTCAAATATGAGTGGGACCATGAAGTATTTTTCTCTGTGTGTCTGTCTTATTTCACTTAGGAAACCTACCATTTACATGTCTCCTAAATTTAGTACAGAAATAAAGTGCTAGTCAAGAATGTGTCTCTGTTTTGTTAGATTAATTTTTTTCCAAGTTATCCTCTTTATCAATTTTTACTTTTTGTACCATAGAAGAGTGAAAATTCTTGTATTTAAAAAAACTGTAACCAGGCTATTGATAAATAACTTCTTTTAGGGATAAAAATCTCAGGAAGTTCAAGATTTATGTATTAATGATTGACAATGTTCTTAGTGTTCTCTCTTTGATTTATTTCAATTGTAAGTAAGTCTTGGTGATATTCTAACATAAATTCTGATAGGTGAAGAGAATAAATTAAGTATCTCTAGGAGAATCAATACGATAAGATTATCTTGGTTAAATGGCTAAGAAAATGTGGTAAATAGACACAAAAACTGTTTCATCTTCCAAAATCAGAGTCAAATACTAAGTGATCGTAAAGTAGCTAATTCTGTCTTTCTGCCAAAGTGAATCTGAGCTAAAGTAGAAGAATGTCAGGAATAAATTTTTCCTTGAAATCTAGCAACAAATAATGTAATTAAATTTTGAGGCTTTGACTGTTGCATAGAGTTTTAGCATCAACAGAAAAGCTCGCAAAACATAGGTGACAATCAAAAAGGAGTGCTGGGTTGGAGCCCTAAGGTGAGTAATTTTATCATCTCAGATCACTTGGAAAAAAGCAGCGAGTCCAAAAGAAGCTGGTGATAAGCTTTCTCTCTGCTAAACCCTAATCTTCTGCATGAAATATGTGGAGGCAGAAGAGAGACAGTTTATTATAGTCTACGTGGCATAGAGTGAAGGAATAAGAGAATATTTCTGATAAGTATTTTCAAAATTTGGAGAATCATTCCTATCCAAATCGTTCATTTAAGGGACTAAAATACAAATAAGATATTTCTTGCCACATAATCCTCAGCTAGCCAGGCTCTAAAAAGGACAACACTGGACACCTCGACAGTGGTAAAAAGCAGGGTTTACTCCACTCTTGAATAACTAAGAACTGGTGCTAACCTTAGACAGCAGCTTATCTATTTGGTTGAGGTTCAGCTTTGTTTCATTGAACAAATCTCTTGGGTTATTTTCAGCTGTGCCAGTCATTTAATTTGTTTTCTGAATCAAACGATAAGAATAAATATGGCTTAGAGTGTAAACAGCATTCCCAGATACATTACAACTTGGTGTCCCATCTGCCTAATTTTGAACCTATAGGACAGGAATAAAAAGCATTGTGAGAAACACCAGGTGATTTCCTTAAAGCCAAATACTCTTGTCCCTCCTACTTTTTTTCTGGCTTTCCTGCTGCATTGGACATGGCAATAAATTGGAGTTTCCTGCACACAGAGGTAAAATTCACTTGTTGAAGATGTCAGTCTTCTTCTTGACCAACTCCTATATTGGTACAAACATGTTAGAGAAATGCACCTTCTGAATCATTTCTAAGTCAATAATATATTCTGGGTTGTTTAACATGTATAAAATAGTGAGTGATTCGTTTACATTTAGGTTAATTTGAGGACATGGCAAGATCAGAAGTTTTGGGAATCTAGGCTCACATTAATATTATTTTGAGGTCCCCTCATTTGGGTAATAGGTTCTGGGAAAGATGACTGAGTAGGTTATTTGAAGTTACCACAGAGCATAGACTCTCTGGGCCTCTTCTCCCTTCACTTCTGGAGAGAACGTCTTCAAGACTCAGACTTTACCAGGACATTAATTAATGACAAAACGACTCACTGGGTTTTTTATTACAGAAGAAATAGAAAATGCTTTCCAGATGGTAGGGAAATAATATCTTTAGAAACTGACTCCAAATTTCACACTGAACTTAGTGAAAGATGCATCTTGTGAAATGTCCTACATACTTCTATGTTTTTTACAGGGTTCTGGAGACCTATTACACAGGTGAGTGTTTACCTAGATTTTGGCATATATTCTTTCAGTTTCCATGAATATCAAAGCAGGCTCTACCAAAGTCATGGTATAAATGATTAAGATACTGATACTACCTTTTTTTGCATCTGCTTTCACTCTCACACCAGAAAAGACAAGAACACTAAATAAATAAATAAACAAATAAATGAATAAATAAATAAACAAATAAATATATAAATAAATAGTGAAATAAAAAAATATTTATTCCTGATTTTGTTTTATTGCTTAAAAGCCTGCATAGGTGAAAGATAAAGTTTTGTTTTGTGGATGGTGAGAAAGTCACCAGAGGAAGCAGGAGAGAAGTGGGGGAAGTATTTTAGCAGTGAAAAAGTTGATGATTTGTTGTTCATACCTACATACATATCAGTTAACAGTCCTGAAAAATATGTTGAAGAAACTGTGTAGTGTTAGAACTGTATAAGTCTCTAGGGAAGTCTCTTGTTTCTAAAAGGCAGGTCTAGCTGCCTAGAACAAACTTCACATTCTTTATCTTGAAAAGGAAGCAGCAGATGCAGCAGTCTCCCCAGAACCCCGCTATTTCAGACAAAGATGTCAGGGGAGTCTGCCAAGAAGTGGAACTCAGAATTTCATTTCCAAATATTCTGAAGGCCATAAGGCTAAGGAACCTTACACATGTGGGGCAGAAAAAAAGAAAGATCAGACTGAATTCTGACTCAGACTCTCCCACTATGCTTTAAAATTTGGAAACTGTAAATAGAAATTAATTCCAAAAAGGAAGTAATAATTTTTGAATAATCCAATTTGTGGATTCAAAGGATTCTCATGAACTGGCTTTTAAATAGAAATAGTGATTTTTATTTATTTTATGGCTGTAGATGTTGTAACTGCAGGTTTTTCCTTCCAGGAGTGAGTCCGTGCTGCTGCACGTGTCCCAGCCTCTGAATCTAGAGCTCAGTGCAGGGCCCATCACTGGACTGAGGGACAGGCTCATCCAATTCTGAGGTAAGTCTCCACCCATAGACAGCACTTCCACTATCTAAATATTATTACTGTTAGGACCACATAGGTAATATTTCACCCTTTATCAGATATTTTACTTCCTTATAGACATAAGTGAACAACATAATCATGCAACCCTTTTGTATCTGTGTCTGTATAGTCAGATTTATAGCACTAAGTTTGAAAGATAGTGAAAAACAAATACATTTTGGCCTCATATATACTGAGTAATGTAATGGGAAAAACCAGTAGTGTAGCAAATTTTAAAAAGGAGCAAATGGAACAATGCTCAGAATGAAGGTGAGTTAGTTAATGTTAAATACAAAATTTTACATTTCCTTAGTGTATTCATTTGAACAGCTAAGAACTGTTCTTTTGGGGATTATGGTTTAATGGGGATTGCTGGGGTTTTTAAATTTTTTAAATGGATGTTTATCATGAATTGTAAAAAAAATTAGTTAATGGGTAAACATAAAAACAAGAAATCGTTTTGTGAATACAAGTAAAATTACAAACAAAAAGAAGTTCAGTTTAATTGCAATATGAAAAGCTACAGGTTAAGTTTAAAATCCAGCTTTTCAGCCCCAAGCTAGCATGGAGGACCACAGAGAGACTGGTAAAAGATTTTACAGAAATCTGCTTTAAATTGTCACTTATGACATGTACTTACGGATTTTTATCCAGTCATCAAGAGCAGTTCTTGAGTAACTGAAAATCTTCACATTCTTTCCAAAATGATAGCACTAGTTTTTAAGAATAAGAAACATTTCTAAATAATAATCTTGATAACAGCATACTATTTAGGGCATATAATGTGCAAATTTTGCTTTGAAAATTGGGTTGAAAGAAGTTGGTCCTTACATTTGGCTCTCAATATGTAAGTTTTCAAACCATTTTTAATACCTGTGGTTATTGTTTTGTTTGTCTTGTAGTTAAAATTAATCATCTCTATGCTTTATTAGAAGTTACAAGCAAAATTGTCCTTGTGACTTTACATTTCCTGGTAAATTAACTTCTTGATAGAACAATTTTTGCTTATTGACACATGTCTATGCATGTTTTGTTTCTTTCTCTTTTATTTATTTATTTATTTTTGCAGTGGATATTACTCTGAATCACGATGAGCCAACAGTCATATCTTTCGATGTGGAGATTTGAGAAGCATGTGTATTGGATGTGACCGTCCAAATCCGCCCCATATCACTGCAACACCTACAAGTTTTCTTGCATGGGGTGCTCAGACTTTCACCTCCGGCAAATATTACTGGGAGGTCCATGTGGGGGACTCTTGGAATTGGGCTTTTGGTGTCTGTAATAAGTACTGGAAAGGGAAGAATACGAATGACAATATATATGGAGAGGAGGGACTCCTTAGTCTTGGATGTGCCAAGAATGACATTCAGTGCAGTCTCTTTACCACCTCCCCACTTACACTGCAATATATCCCAAGACCTACCAGCCACATAGGATTATTCCTGGATTGTGAAGCTAGAACTGTGAGCTTCGTTGATGTTAATCAAAGCTGCCTTATATACACCATCCCTAATTGCTCCTTCTCACCTCCTCTCAGGCCTACCTTTCGGTGTATTCACCTCTGACCAGAGATAAATCAGAAATGTGTTCATCTGCTGTGAGAACCCCTTTATTCCAGGAAGCCCTCTTCCTTGTGCCTTATCAAACAGGACAAATAGGTTCTGTTTTATGTCTTGAATTGCCTCCTAATGTTATTAAAACTCATTTATTGTGTTACTATTAAAAATGGTAAAAACACTAAAAGTATATGTTTTGGTTCTTTATTAATTTTTGAAAAATCATCATTCATGATCATGGCATAAAATATATTCTGTTTTTTTTTCTTTATTTCTGACTGCCACTGAGTGAAATAATAGATGACAGACATGTCTGAATGGAGTTAAAATCAATGGAAGAGAGTCGGGATCTTTTGCTTCATGCAAAAGCTTGGAGTGAAGTCTTAATGATAGCTGGGAAATGTTTTTCTTTCTCTTTACCTAACTATATTGCACTTCTCCATCACATTTCATTTTACTAATCTATCCTTTGAGTTAATATTATTTGACCTTCCATGCTGGGCTTCATTTTGGAATTCTCACCACATAGATAAATAATCCTGCATTATTAGTGTGCTCTTCTACATTGAAATACACAAGGTGGTCAGAACAATGCTGGATTAATTGAATTTTAAAAAATAACTAAATATTGACTCCTACCTCAAAACACACACAGTCATTTCCAAATAGATTCCAGTTCTGAAGGTAAGGGGAACATGATACAATATTCTCATAAGGATTTCTTAACCAGGACAAAAATTAACAATTAAAAAAATTAGTAGGTTTATATTAATGAGGACTTCTGTGTTTCAAAAAACATGATACAAGAATTGAAATGCAAACAATTAGTGGAGAAAGATATTCACCTGAACATATATAAAATAAAATGCAATACATGTGCATGATGAATACTTAAAATGTATTTTAAGTATTTTTCCAGATTCTTCCAGAGTGGCACAGAATAAACTTGGATGGCAGAGTCAATGATGAGATTAGCTGTGGAAATGGGAAACCGTTTTTTGGAGGCAGTAGTAATGCTGCGAACTTATGAAAACAACCAAGTATTCAGTAGCAATTAAAATGTGTCTCCATAAGATTATTTTACAGATGCGTATCTGAAATCTGAAATTTGGGAGAACATTCTACTAATGTTCTCCAGTGAAAAAATACAGCTGGAAGAAAGAAGGGAGGGAAGATGAAGGAGAGAGAAATAGAATGCATTTGAGAGAAAATGCTATTTAGACTAAAATAGAATACTGCAGATACCATGACAAAGTGGTTAAGGTGTGTCTTATGGAGCAGAAATGGCAGCAAATACCACAGTAAAGAGATTTACCATTGGATTGTTAGTTCCGGCTTTTATTCTGTCAATGTTGTGGCTTCTAAACACATCAGTAATCTCCTTTGATCCATGTGCTAATTAACAACCAACACTCTGCCCCCTCTCCCAGATTCTTTCATCATTTTAAACCTAATCTAATTCTAATCCGGATGGTCACTGTAACACATGTAATCACCTAAGAATTTTAAAAATATTTTTGATGAATAAATGAAAAATTAGCTAGGTGCAATGGCATAAACCTCTAGTCTTTTTTACTTTGAAAGCTGAAGTGGGAGGATTACTTGAGCCCTGGAATTCAAGGCTGCGGTGAGCTAAGACTGTGCCACTGCACTCCAGAGGGTGAAACTTTCTTTGGTATAAATAAATAAATGTGCACTTAGAGGAATGCTTGTGCCTTGGGAAGAAACTCAAGAAACAGTTTAATCAACTTAGTTAATTTCTAGCATATGTTTACTCTGATAAGATTGATGATAGATATGCCTCATTCAGGCAGTGGTTTTTACAATGATAGTGTGATGCTAATTTAATCAGTGATGAAAAGGCGTGTACTAAATATTGCATAAACCTAATCATCTCTGTCTCCACCTTTCTTAATACCCTAAATATCACTAAATAGGTGGTTGTGGTCTTCAAAGATTCACCTAAATGGATGTAGAAGAGACAAGCTCATATTTCTCCAGAGGAGGACAGCACTTAGAGTTAACTGCATTCAAGTGATGACCTCTGAAAGTCAACTCTGCAGGGAATGAGCTCCTGATCTTGGGGAGTACTTAAAAGAATTTTTTCTTGGAAGAATTACTGCAGGAAACATTCATAGAACCTTGGGGTGAGTGCAACTTCTATGGAGAAAATTATTTCTCTCTTCCTTTAAAATAGTAAATTACAGTGATAAAAATATCTAACTGTCTAAACTTACCGAATGATCTTATTTGTAACTCATATTATTGCTATTCATTTTATGACATGAGGTTATGACATGAGGTTATTGTTGTCATTTTGTGTGTTCCAAAAGTGTTTGATATATTTTTGAAAAATTTTAGATATCTAGTGTTTGCTGCAATAGATTTGTATGCATCATGGGTATATGGAATTCATATTAAAACATATATATGTGTACTGCATGTACTAATATTGGTACACTTAATTAAGTAAAAAAGGATAATTATTGAATACTGTAAATGTTGTGCTTTCATAACCTTAAGCTTTTAGACATGATTTTAAGTTACTGAGGCAATGATGAGTTAAAAATGGTGATACTAAAGGAAATAAGAATGCTCTCCAAAATACCCTAGCTTAGAAATCAAAACACGATTGTTTAGCAGATAACTGTATAAGGAATGATTTGATACTTGATACTAGCTGTCATTTTAATTGAGGTTTACCTCAGATGAAACTGTGAAAAATTCCTTGAAATGGCTCAGATGGCCTCTGAAAAATATTTGCAATTCTTAAATTTTCACTCTTGGCACTTAAATTCAGCAGTGTTTAGTAAAAGAGAGTAAGGTAAAGGACTTCAAACTGCCAAGGCAAAGATTACAGTTTGTATTGGTCAGGGTTCTCCAGAGACACAGAACCATAGGATGTGTACATAACTATAACTATATATATATATATATATATATATACACATACCAAAAATACTTACAATTGTGGTACAATTGCCTATCGTATACCATACAGGTTTGTAGCCTAGGAACAATATGCTATACTGTATACCATAGGTGTGGTTTGTGTAAGTATACCCTATGATGTTCAAACAATAACGAGACTGTCTAACGCGTCCCTCAGATCATATATCTGTCCTCACTCTACACATGACACTGTACAGGAGAGGAAGTCCACTAGGGGAATTTGTTCCCTTGATTATGGAGTCTGAGAAGTTGAACATAGGCTGTCATTAAGGTAGTGTCCTGGAGATACCAATATCCTGGCTGAGTTAGAATCAGCTTCAGGAGAAAGAGAGGAAACTGCCTTGTCTCTGCCCTTTATCTTCAGTCTGAGCTACCAGCTGATTGGATAGTGTCCACCCACACTGAGGGCTGCTGTTGCCCACTCAGCTCACCAACTTACATGACTCTCCGGAAACACCTTCACAGACTCACCCAGAAATCATGCTTTACCAATTCTCCATGTATTATTTAATCCAGTCAAGTCAACACCTATAATTAACCATAATACCATAGTAATATAATGATATATATTTCAGTTTTTAAAAAACTGACTATATGTCAGTTCATAGTTTGAGTAGCCCAAAGAAGAAGTTAATTTAAGCCATAAGAAAAATAAACCCAACATTTTTCATTATTTATTTTATCTCCTAGTGATCCTAGACTGGTTTAATTGCTGTCTTTTTTTTTTTAATCTGGTCGGTTGGTTTGTTCTGGGGTTGTTTTTGTTTTAAAGAGCCGGCTTCTCGGTCCCTCTCTCTAAAAATATGTCATAGCAACCTCTGACCATCTTCTCATGTTTTGTTACCCAATGTAGGTTTTCTACTCCTCTCCCATAGTCATTCAGTTGTTATTTGAAAGAGAAATAGGGACAAGCATGTTTCATTCTAGACCACTTAAGATTAAAACCCGAGTTTCATGTCGACATCCAGGGAGTAGGTTTTTGAACAGATTTGCATTATGCTATGGGCAGGAACCAGGAGTAGAAGAGGTTGTGAGTCATCTAGTCAGCAGTGTCTGCTAAAAAGCCTAAAGACTCTCTTTGTGTTTGAATTTTTCATTTTTGTTACAGAGGAAATAGTTTGTTCCGCTTTAATGAGCACTGTCAAGAAGAAAATATAGCTATCACATATCACCACATGTTCACGGATTTTCACCAACCCAGACCCCAAAATGACATGCTGCTCTTTCTTCTTCAGAAACATGAATTCTGGAATCTTGCAAGTCTTCCAGAGGGCACTCACCTGTCCCATCTGCATGAACTACTTCCTAGACCCAGTCACCATAGACTGTGGGCACAGCTTTTGCCGGCCCTGTTTGTACCTCAACTGGCAAGACACGGCAGTTCTTGCTCAGTGCTCTGAATGCAAGAAGACAACGCGGCAGAGAAACCTCAACACTGACATTTGTTTGAAGAACATGGCTTTCATTGCCAGAAAAGCCAGCCTCCGGCAATTCCTTAGCTCTGAGGAGCAAATATGTGGGATGCACAGAGAGACAAAGAAGATGTTCTGTGAAGTGGACAAGAGCCTGCTCTGTTTGCCGTGCTCCAACTCTCAGGAGCACCGGAATCACATACACTGTCCCATTGAGTGGGCTGCTGAGGAACGCCGGGTAAGTGATGCCTCTGAAGATCTATTTCTATACAGGACACATGAAATTCTTGTAAGTCTATTTCCTTCGAGATTGGATGATGCCATCTCTGTGTCCCCTTAAGCATGTCTGTTATGAGCTTCCTTGACTTCACACCTCTCAGATTTGACAAACATGAGGAGAAACAAAGCAAACTCTCTTTTCTGTGGGTTAATTTGTCTCTCATTTTGGGTCCTTCGTATATCAGAGTGTGAATGATACTTTATTGTCCTCACTTGTGCTTCAATTCGTGGCTGTTTTGCAGGAGGAGCTCCTAAAAAAAATGCAGTCTTTATGGGAAAAAGCTTGTGAAAATCTCAGAAATCTGAACATGGAAACCACAAGAACCAGATGCTGGAAGGTTAGTACCGTATGACTCTACCTTCTCCGGGAACTTATAGTGAACAAATGGGTGACTCTTAAAATAGGAACTTGATCTCAACCCATAATGTTTCTGGAATTCAATAAACAAGGAAAAAACACTTGAGAAAAAAACACCCTAATTTTTTATATAAGTTAGTGTGACTCTTTGGTAGGATATCTAATCAGACCACAGATGTTACCCAAGCATGCTCATCTGTTTCCATACAAACCTATAGCAATACCCCAGCAAATACAAGAAACTGGGACACTTCACACTCTTCCCAATGGGCTGCCTGGATAAATTCTGGACACAAGAGTTATTTGTCAGTCATGGAAATTTCAGGTGACCCTTCTAAGGCTGAGTCAGTATGAATTTGAATCCTGGTGGGCAAGTAGATTGAAATGTGAGCTAAATTTCAGGCAGAAGGAGCAAGAGCACAACCTTAGAGAAAGCATGAAATGAAATATCAGCACTAATTAATATTGAATAAGCCATAACACATAATGGGAAAAGTGGCGAGAAATGTACACTTGTGTCTTGATGAAGACATAAATATGTGAGAAATATGGGAACTAGTATTTAATATAAGGAGAAGTCTAAGGACTTGAGAAGAATTCTAGAAATGATTTTCTCTTTGTGGATGTTTATATTGAGGGTATGATATCTGATATTCATTCATTAATTTATTCTAATATTCATTCATTGAAAGGTATTTTATGAGTACCTAGCCTATGTCAAATATCAACTTAGAAAATTAAGGTGTAAAGAAGAAAGAAAACACACAAATCTTGCCATGGAAATGAGAAAAGCAAATGGTCACCATGCAGATATGTGAAGTACATGATGTGTTAGAGTGTAGTAGTGTCTTTGGAGAATAATCAAGCAGGAAAGTAGAAAAGGAGCACAGAGGCCAGGGACTGGGGATGAGGGTTTGAGTTTTAAATAGGGTGGTCAGAAAAAAGGCTCATGGAAAAATTCACACTGAAACAAAATCTTGATCAGGAGGAAATGTGTATATCCTCCTGTTTGCCTTCCTCTTCCTCATAAATATATGAATATATATGTGTATCTGGATGTTGGTATATATATATATATATATGGATACATTTGAGGAATATATATATACACACACACAGATACACATATATATTCCTCATATATCCATATATACCTATATTTGAGAAATATATATATGAGTACATATATGAGAAATATGTATATATATATGAAAATAATTCTAGGTATAGAAAACAGCATGTACAGTAATATTTAATTTGCATTTATTTGGGGGTTTGAGGAACCACAAAGAAGCCCATGTTGCCGATTAGGGTGAGTTTGGAAGAGAATAAATGAAACCTTATTAGAATATGTTATGCTGGGTGAAATGCATTGAGTTGACAATGCTAGTCTGGGTCATGTCATCATTTGTCAGATAATGGTTTTACATAACTTGCCCCAGTTCTCCAAAGTAGAAATAATGGTTTCTTACCTAGTCAATATAACTCGATAGTTTGATTCTTAAGCAAGAACTGTGTTTTCTTTCTATAAATGTGGTGTGGAAGAGGGAAATCCATTTTTATATAACTATCTTAGAAAACATTTTATCATTAATCAAGTAAATGTAACTGGGCAGAAACAACTATGTTGATATTAGTACAGAAAAAAAAATAAAAGGGATAAAATTTTGTGGAATCTGAGAATTGACAAGATTGAGGATTAAAATATTGGGTGTTTAGAATGCTAAGAGGAATCAGTGAAATTCAAGAGAAGATGGGTAAAACATTTCTATTTTGACTAATTGTCACTGCAGGATTATGTGAGTTTAAGGATAGAAGCAATCAGAGCTGAATATCAGAAGATGCCTGCATTTCTCCATGAAGAAGAGCAACATCACTTGGAAAGGCTGCGAAAGGAGGGCGAGGACATTTTTCAGCAACTCAATGAAAGCAAAGCCAGAATGGAACATTCCAGGGAGCTTTTAAGAGGAATGTATGAGGATCTGAAGCAAATGTGCCATAAAGCAGATGTGGAGCTACTCCAGGTATGGACTGACCATGGGGTATCATGATGTTGAACATTCACATACATGGGTGTTTTTCCTCTCTCCTGAACTCCGTCTCCCCCTTCACTTCCATTATTTGTTTCCAAAAACACGATTCCATAACTAATGCTACTTGGTTGGGAGGGTATAGCCTCTCCTAGTGATTCTACTAGACCGAAGGTCCCTCCTACTTCATCCACCAGCAACAAAACTTTGTAGAATGGCTAAGGTAACAGACAGCACCAAGAAATATTTCCCATCAAAAGTCACTGATTAATTTAGGATTTTTGAAAGTGGAAAAAATGAGAAGTGATTCATTGGCATTTAGGCTAATTTGGAGACATGGCATGATGGAGAAGTTGGGGAATCTAGGATCACACTAATATTATTTTGGGGTCCACTCATTTTGGTAACAGGGCTTAGGGAAGAAGACTGAGTAGCTTCTTTATGGTTACCACAGAGCATAGACTCTGTGGGCCTCCTCTCCCTTCACTTGTGAAGAGAATGTCTTCAAGACTTAGACTTTATCAGGACATTAATTCATGACATATGATAGACTGGGATTGTCATGAGAAAAGAAACAGAAAATGCTTTCCAGGAGGGAACATTGTAGGAAAATAGTATCTTCAGAAACTGTCTCCAAATCTCACTCTGAACTTACTGGAAGATGCATCTTGTGGAAAGCGCTAAGCCTTTCTATTTTTTTTTTTTTACAGGCTTTTGGAGACATATTACACAGGTGAGTGCACACCAAGATTTTAGCAGATGCTTTCAGTTTCCACAAATATCAAGCAGGAACTTTGATATTGAAGGTATAATTGATTCAGATAGTGATACTGCCTTGTGCTGGTTGTACTTTCTCCATCCCCCACCCCATGTAGTCATCTATTTTGTTGCCATACTCAGTGACTTTATTAAGCAGCTCAATGAAAGTTCTGCAAAAGCAAAAAAATAAATAAATAAATAAATAAAACAAAAAATAAATAAACGAAAGAAAAATAAAGGAAGTGAGCATCTGTATTCCTAATTTCCTTTTTATTGCTCAAAACATTCATATTTGAAAGAGAAAATATTACATTTTCTACATGGCTACAAAGTCAACCAGGGGAAGCCAGAGAGAAAAGGGGAAAGTATTTTAGCAGTGAAAAGTGTTGATGATTTCTAGTTTATATTTAAATATATAATTCTGAAAAATGGATGAAGCAAACTATTCGGAATGTTTGAACCGTGTAGGCCTCCAGAGAACCTCAACTACAAAAGGCAGATCTCCCTGCCTGGAGCAAGTTTCAACACCCTGGCCTTGAGAAGGGAGCAACAGACGCAGCAGTCTTAAAAATAACCCCACTTTTCCAGACAGTGATTTCAGGAATTTCTGGTGAGGTCTGGAACCCAGAATTTCATTTTTGATTATTCTCCCAGTCTTAAGACTAATGATCCTTACTAACTAGGAGCAATACGAAGAAAGATCCTAATGAATTCTCAGTCAGATAGACTTTTCCATCGTGCTTGAAAATGAGGAACTGTGAATAAGAATGGATTTGAAAAATAAAATGATAATTTTGGAATTAGCAAATGTGTGGGTTAAAGGGATTCTCATGAAATGTCTTTTAAATAAGAGTGGTGTTTTTTATGTATTTTTTTTGGCTGTAGATGTGATAACCCTATCTTTCCCCTTGCAGGTATGAGTCTCTGCTGCTGCAAGTGTCTGAGCCTGTGAATCCAGAGCTCAGTGCAGGGCCCATCACTGGACTGCTGGACAGCCTCAGTGGATTCAGAGGTGAGTGTCAGCCCATTGGCAGAATTCCCACAGTCTATTACTTCTTGTTAGAATCATGGGGGTAGTATTTTACCCTTCATCAAATCTTTATTTCATTTCAGCAGGAAGTGAACCATATGACTATGCAACCCTTTTATATCTGTGTTTCTATTTATAGTCCAAATTATAACATGAAGAGTACAACATAGTGAAAAACAAATATGTTCTGGGCTCACATGGATAGAGTTATATATTGGGTAAATGGAATGACATAAGAAATAAAAAATTGAATAAATGGAAAAATGCTCAGAAGGAAGCATAATAATCCAAGGTTACATAAAAATTTTACATTTCTTTACTGTATTTCATTTGAATTGTTAAACACATTTCATTGGGGAATAGAGTTCACTGCAGTTTGTTGGAGTATTTGTACTTTCTTACAATAAATATATTTTATTGATATAATGTAAAATTTGACTTAACATGTAAAAAGAAAGAAGAAATTATTATGTAAATAGGAAGTAAAAATGGAAATGATAATTTCAGTTTAGTTACAACATGAAGAGCTAGGTGTAAAATCCAAAATTCGGTTTCAGTCTAGAGCTAGCACGGATGTCCGCAAAGTGACTGGTAAAAGATTTTGCAAAAATCTGCCTTAAGTTACCACTTATAATTTGAACATATGGACTTTTATCCAGTTATCTAGAGCGGTGCTTGAGTAAGCTAAAATCTTCCCATTCTTGCCAAAATTATATCACTAGTATTTAAGAACAAGAAATATTTTAATAATAATGACCTTGATAGCTAAAGGGCATTCAGGGCATAAAATAATTCATTTTTACATTGGAGATTGGATTGAAACAGGCTGGTCTTATATTCGACTCTCAATTTTTAAGTTTTCAATAAATTTTCAATGTGTTTCTAGGGTTTTGTTCTTCCTATAGAGAATATTAATCATCCTTATACTTTATTAAATGTTGTAGTCACAATTCTCCTGTCCTTGTAACTTCAAATTTCTTGGTAAAGTAAACTCTTGGTAGAACAACATTTCCCTCAAGAATTCTAATTTCTATTAATTACATGTATCTATATTTTTTAAAAATTATTTTTGCAGTTGATTTTACTCTGCAGCCTGAAAGAGCCAATAGTCATATCTTCCTGTGTGGAGATTTGAGAAGCATGAATGTTGGATGTGACCCTCAAGATGATCCCGATATCACTGGAAAATCTGAATGTTTTCTTGTATGGGGGGCTCAGGCTTTCACATCTGGCAAATATTATTGGGAGGTTCATATGGGGGACTCTTGGAATTGGGCTTTTGGTGTCTGTAACAATTATTGGAAAGAGAAGAGACAGAATGACAAGATAGATGGAGAGGAGGGACTCTTTCTTCTTGGATGTGTTAAGGAGGACACTCACTGCAGTCTCTTTACCACCTCCCCACTTGTGGTGCAATATGTTCCAAGACCTACCAGCACAGTAGGATTATTCCTGGATTGTGAAGGTAGAACCGTGAGCTTTGTTGATGTTGATCAAAGTTCCCTGATATACACCATCCCCAATTGCTCCTTCTCACCTCCTCTCAGGCCTATCTTTTGCTGTAGTCACTTCTGACCAGAGAAAAGTCAGAAATGTGCCTGTATGCTCTGGGAACCTGTTTATCCCAGAAAGCCCTCTTTTTCGCACCTCATCAAACAGAACAAATAAGTTATATTTAATGTCTTTAGTTGCATTCTAATGTCATCAAAACTCATTTATAGTGTTTCTATTAAATATGGTGAAAACATTAAAACCATGTGTATTGATTCCTTTTTAAATCATTTTTGGAAAATCATTACCCATGATGTATGGCATAGAATATATTATCTGGTTTTTAATTATTTCTGAATGTCACAAAGTGAAATAATAGATGACAGAGTTGTCTAAATGAAGTTAAAATCAATGGAAGAAAGTAGAGATCTTGGGCTTCATGAAAAAAGTTGGAGTAAAAAGACTCAGTGGTAACCTGGAAATATTGTCTTTCTCTTCATCTAACAATATTATACTTATCCATGTGTTTTATTTATGAACCTATACTTTGAGGTAATCTTATTTGACCTCCTATGCTGTGCTTATCTTTGTAAATCTCATCTTATAAACAAAATGCTCATGCATTATTAGAGTGCTGTTCTACAGTGAAATTTACAAGGGGATCAGGACAATGCTGGATCAATTAAATATTCAAATGGACATAACTGAATACTGACCCCTACCTCATACCATACACAGTGCATTCCCACATGGATTCATGCTCTGAAGGTGAAGGGAACACAATAAAATATTCTCACACAGAAAGATTTCCTAACCAGGACAAAAAAGGGACAATTAAAAAGAAAAATTTAGTTAGCTTATATAAAAAATGGTGACTTCTGTGTTTCAAAATATACCATCCAAGAATTAAAATGCAAACCAAGAGTGGAGAAAAATATTTATCCCTACATATATGCAATAAAATACAATACATGTGATTAATGAATGTAATAAATAAAAGAAAAGGAAACCAACATAAAATTGGGAAAATATTTGAATAGGCACTTCATAAAGTTGGAGGCATAAATATCTGGACCAATATGAAAAAGGAATTACTTGTATTAGTCCTCAGAATAATAAAAATTAATTCATAAGTTGAACTACAGGCCTCCATAAAAATTAGCAAAATTTAAAGACACATAATATTGTGTGTTGTGAAAGATAAAGAATCAATGAAAGTTATTCATGGCTGGAGGGATGTAAACTGAAATACTTTTTGGCAAACTGACTATGAGCATTCCTTATGGGCTAGACATTCTAATTCTAAAATATATTCCACAGACTGCCTATGTGTATTTAAAGATAAACACAATGTTGATCATTGCAGCAATTTTTATAGTAGCTCCAAATTGGAGACAAAATAAATATTCATCAACAGTAGAATTGCTAAATAAATTGTGATCTCATCGTACAAAAGAATTTTACAAAACAGAGATAACATCGAAATGCAACAAATTAATGAATCTCAAAGAGAAGTTTAAGAAAAGAATTGAAACATACAAGTGTTATATTACAGTGTTTTATTTAGATAAATTGTGAACTCCATTAATTGATGCTAGAAGTTAGAATATTGAATAATGTTTTGGAAGGCAATGGCTAAGAAACTTAAAAATTAAGCAGGATAAGATACAGGAAGCATTGAAATCAAGGAGAGAAACTATAAGCATTTTTCATGCAGAAGAGAATTTTATATATATATATATTAAGTATTTTAACGTATAAAATAAGAAGTTTGAAATAAATGAATTTGATGTTTTGTCTAATTTTTCAAATGCATATATATATAATTTAATTTATGATAATTTAACATCAACATTAAGACATAAAACTTTTTTTATTATTATACTTTAAGTTCTGGGGTACATGTGCAGAACGTTCAGGTTTGTTACATAGGTATACACGCACCATGGTGGTTTGCTGCACCCATCAACCCGTCATCTACATTAGGTAGTTATCCCAGTGATATCCCTCCCCTGGCCCCCCACCCCAGACAGACCCCAGTGTGTGATGTTCTCCTCCCTGTGTACATGTGTTCTCATTGTTCAACTCCCACTTATGAGTGAGAATATGCGGTGTTTGGTTTTCTGTTGTTGTGTTAGTTTGCTGAGAATGATGGTTTCCAGCTTCATCCATGTCCCTGCAAAGGACATGAACTCATCCTTTTTATGGCTACATAGTATTCCACGGTGTATATGTGCCACATACATTTGTTTTACAGTCTGTGAAGAGATTCAGAGAATATCACATTTTAAGACTTGTATTTACCTCCCCGTCTCCCCTGTGTAACAAAACCTAAAACTACAAAGGGAAATATAAGGAATGCCATTGCCCTTGGGATGCTGGTAAAACTAATTGATGTTTGGAAAGGGGAAAAGAAAAAATAGGAAAAAAATATGTGGAGGATTTAGACCTACACCTGAAGGTTGGACAGGTTTTAAGTTTTTGGCTACATTTTAAACTAATCCTGCTTTTTCCTGTGAACCAACCAGCAATCTCCAGTTGCTGGAAAGAACAAAAGACTTGGGTAATGTACAAATATGAATCAACATTCTAATTCTGAGCAATTATCCTGCAAATCCTGCCAGGTGATGGGAATAAATAAGATGCTCATCACTTGGAGGTTTCCCTTTGGGAAAGTAAGACCAAGGGAGCTAAGCAAAGCCAAGCCCCATGCCCCTAAACCCTAGGAAGCCTAACTATAGCCCGCAGTTAATTGGGTGTGTCACAAGACATCCTTTTCTCTCCCTTGTTGGAGGAGGGCTCAGTTCTAAAGTTTCACCTTAGCATTCGGCATATGATAAGGAGTCCATGCAACCCCCCTGAGACACATCTTTGTCCCAAACTCAATTCCAAACTCAGGTCAAAGCCCTAGGAAAGAAAACTGGATCTAAGGGATCCAGAGGCAGACAAGTTAAGAAGCACAGTGCAGGTGGACATGGCTGATTCCTGCCAATTAAGCCAAGCTTCCCATTTCACGGATAAAGGCCACATTAATATCCATTGCATAAATGAGGTCCAGGGAACTCCAAGGCTACTGACAGCAGGAGAGATAGGGTGTACGTGGGTACAGTGGAGAGTTCCCACCCTGTAGGCCCCCTGCTTCATGGGTGCAAGCGCTTTAACACCCATGGCAGCACCTGCCAAGTTCTCTGGGACTCGGGGATGAAAGGACAGAAGATAGAAAAAGGATGCTCTTCCCTCTCTCACTCACATACCCCTGGTATCGGCTATGGATAGAAAGGAACCAGGGATGCCTGCGCCCCTCTTTCTAGATGGGTGGCCATTTATCTTGAGTCTTAACTCTTTTTGAATGCATCCCGAATCCCTGGGACTCCTTTGAAAAAAAATGCTAAAAATGCCTTCTTTTTTTCTTTCTCCTCCTTGGTTCTCTCTTCACAGATAGGTAATTGTGTGTCTGTGCTGTGGGATACTCCCCTCAGATGCATCCTCCAAACTGGAAAGAGTTAATTTCCCAAACTTCAAACTGGTTGGCTTAGGACTGGGCTCAGGGGAAGGGAACCCAGAAGCCCAACATGTCAGCAAAAGGGTAAAGTTTTATTTTTTATTCATTATTATTATTTTTTAACCAGCTGGGCTTTTGGCCTCCCTCTACTTGTCCAAGCTGATAAAACACCTCGGGATTTTTGAACTGTCCTTATCTCACCCTTGTTTTATTTTGATACATGTTTTCTAATAACCTGGTTTGTCTCTTCCTGCCTTCGGGTCATCAAACTCCAAATGGTCATGTAATTGGAGCCTTTGACAAAGGCCCCTTCTGCTGGGAACCCTCAAATAGGCCTCTGAGGGAGTTCTGACTGCTGGTTCCACAGAACACCGCCCCCTGTCAGCAGGAAGCAGTAAAGATCAGTCTTCATCCTTATCCTTATCCTCATTGCAAGGGCAGTTAGACGTACTTCCTTAGAGGGCAGAATGAGACAACGAGGTGGGAGGGGGTCCGTGGCAAAATTCCAACCGGCCTATGTACTGCGTGCACAGTGAGGTGCAACCACAGAAGTCCATGCTATTTGTAGTGGGGAAGAGCATGACCCCTCCTCTTCCTGGGTGGAAACTGGAATTCAAACTGTGGTGGGGGAAGCCTACATCAGCAGAAACTCTGGCCTTGCAGACAGTCCCTGTTCCACCTTTTTTCCTTTTTGCCCAATAAATCCTGTTATTCTCACCCTTCAAATCGCCTGCAAGCCTAATGTTTCATGGCTGTGTGATAAGGACCCAGTTCTTAGCTGAACTAAGGAAAAAGACCAGGAACACTTTTATCTCAATTATTCCCAATAATGGATAAGCAATTGGCATAGTATAATTACTTTCCCATGACAGAAAATAAATGCAGTTCACTGGAACTGTTTATCAATTACTTTTGATTTCCATGTAAATATATGCACACTGTATCTTAGCTGTTTAAATCCTGCTCAATCTAAAAAGCCTTCCTGATATATTAATCCATAGGCAATTTTGTTTTCTTAGTCTGTCTTCAATTTCAGATGATAATTTGTATTGTAATTCTCACTAGGACCTTAGATATGCTTCTTTGAAGACTCATTATTTTCTATCTTACTGTGTAGCTTTTGTGCCTGTGTTCTATCCCTCTACCAAAATTATTCATTAATTCTCATTCATTATTTGATACCTTGACTCTTTATCATAGTTTCCTCCCCAGAATAGATTCTGAGTGAATTTTTATGAAATAAATATGTGTAATATTGATTTTTTTTAGTTTAGATCACATGCTTCCAATGTGAAGAAACCATTTATGTTTCTTCAGTATTTTTAGTTCATCCTCCACAGTGGTGCTGTGATTATTACAAGATATTTTTAAGTGTGATGGTTTTTTAAAAGACAGTTTTTGAACATTGAATAAATTAAAACTTGGTCATAAAAGTTTTTCTCTAGGATATGTTGAGTCTGAAATCTCTTGATTGGCAAGCAAACAGCTGAAATTTCTGAGGTAAGCTATTCTCTCAGAGCCAGAGATGAGAACTAGAGCCTACAGATGGTGGGAGAGAAGTTAGTTGACTACTGGGGTATAATCCAGAGGGAAGGTATGGCTGGAAAGTGTGAAAACAGTGTTAAACTCAAAGGTGAGGATGAATAGTGGGATAGAGGGATGAACTAGAGAGGAAAGCCTCTGACAGTGAAAGTGTTTGCTGGGTTGTAAATCTAGAGCAGTTTCATTCACTGCAGTTGGATGGATTTTTAAAACAAGAAGGGATTTGTTTATACAGAACATTGGTGAGGTAGAACTCTGGCCAATGTGCACTTTAAATAGTGAAGACCGTTCACTCTGATGGTAGTTTCTTTTGCTGTGCAGAAGCTCTTTAGTTTAATTAGATCCCATTTTTCAATTTTGGCTTTTGTTGCCATTGCTTTTGGTGTTTTAGACATGAAGTCCTTGCCCATGCCAATGTCCTGAATGGTATTGCCTAGGTTTTCCTCTAGGGTTTTTATGGTTTTAGGTCTAACATTTAAGTCTTTAATCCATCTTGAATTAATTTTTGTATAAGGTGTAAGGAAGGGATCCAGTTTCAGCTTTCTCCATATGGCTAGCCAGATTTCCCAGCACCGTTTATTAAATAGGGAATCCTTTCCCCATTGCTTGTTTTTGTCAGGTTTGCAAAGATCAGATAGTTGTAGATATGCGGCATTATTTCTGAGGGCTCTGTTCTGTTCCACTGGTCTTTATCTCTGTTTTGGTACCAGTACCATGCTGTTTTGGTTACTGTAGCCTTGTAGTATAGTTTGAAGTCAGGTAGCAGGATGCCTCCAGCTTTGTTCTTTTGGCTTAGGGTTGACTTGGCGATGCGGGCTCTTTTTTTGTTCCATATGAACTTTCAAGTAGTTTTTTCCAATTCTGTGAAGAAAGTCATTGGTAGCTTGATGGGGATGGCATTGAATCTATCAATTACCTTGGGCAGTATGGCCATTTTCACGATATTGATTCTTCCTACCCATGAACATGCAATGTTCTTCCATTTGTTTGTATCCTCTTTTATTTCATTGAGCAGTAGTTTGTAGTTCTCCTTGAAGAGGTCCTTCACATCCCTTGTAAGTTGGATTCCTAGGTATTTTATTCTCTTTGAAGCAATTGTGAATGGGAGTTCACTCATGATTTGGCTCTCTGTTTGTCTGTTATTGGTGTATAAGAATACTTGTGATTTTTGTACATTGATTTTGTATCCTGAGACTTTGCTGAAGTTGCTTATCAGCTTAAGGAGATTTTGGGCTGAGATGATGGGGTTTTCTAGATATACAATCATGTCATCTGCAAACAGGGACAATTTGACTTCCTCTTTTCCTAATTGAATGCCATTTATTTCCTTGTCCTGCCTCATTGCCCTGGCCAGAAACTACCATCAGAGTGAACAGGCAACCTACAGAATGGGAGAAAATGTTTCCAACCTACTAATTTGACAAAGGGCTAATATCCAGAATCTACAATGAACTCAAACAAATTTACAAGAAAAAAACAAACAACCCCATCAAAAAGTGGGCAATGGATATGAACAGACACTTCTCAAAAGAAGATATTTATGCAGCCAAAAAACACATGAAAAAATGCTCACCATCACTGGCCATCAGAGAAATGCAAATCAAAACCACAAGGAGATACCATCTCACACCACTTAGAATGGTGATCATTAAAAAGTCAGGAAACAACAGGTGCTGGAGAGGATGTGGAGAAATAGGAACACTTTTACACTGTTGGTGGGACTGTAAACTAGTTCAACCATTGTGGAAGTCAGTGTGGCAATTCCTCAGGGATCTAGAACTAGAAATACCATTTGACCCAGCCATCCCATTACTGGGCATATACCCAAAGGATTATAAATCATGCTGCTATAAAGACACATGCACACGTATGTTTATAGCGGCACTATTCACAATAGCAAAGACTTGGAACCAACCTAAATGTCCAACAATGATAGACTGGATTAAGAAAATGTAGCACATATACACCATGGAATACTATGCAGCCATAAAAAAATGATGAGTTCATGTCCTTTGTAGGGCCATGGATGAAGCCGGAAACCATCATTCTCAGCAAACTATCGCAAGGACAAAAAACCAAACACTGCATGTTCTCACTCGCAGGTGGGAATTGAACAATGAGAGCACATGGACACAGGAAGGGGAACATCACACACTGGGGACTATTGTGGGGTGGGGATGGGGGGAGGGATAGCATTAGGAGATATACCTAATGCTAATTGACAAGTTAATGGGTGCAGCATACCAGCATGGCACATGTATACATATGTAACGAACCTGCACATCGTGCACATGTACCCTAAAACTTAAAGTATAATAATAATAAAATTTCAAAAAAAGAAAAAATAAAAAGTAAATAAATAGTGAAGACCGAATTAGCATCCTGAAATTAATAAGAACCACGTGCTTCATCCTAAATATTGAATAGGAAATGTTTTACGTGCAAGGGTTCATCACAATGAATAGATATTGATTCCTTTGTATGAACACATGGCATGTCAGTCACAGCCCTTGGGATAAAGTTTCACATCTTAAGGTAAAAATGAGGTACTCTGGGATTAATTACCTAAACTGACTTCTCGGGATTGTGGGGTCTAGGACTTAAATCAATAGTATAGTTTCAGTCTCCTGACCTTAACATAGGAATGGTACAGCCAGCACGGGTAGCCATGAAGAAACCTCTACTCAGCTCTAACCAGGATCAGAAAAAAAGATGTCCTAAGGTAGCTTGGCAGCCAGCTAGAAATATGACCTGAGGCTAGGATTGGTAATTGTAATGTGACCAACTAGTTGAGCAGGTTGTAAAGAGGATAGAAGAAGATGGAGCCTGCAGACTGTTTCATAACATGATGCTGAGAACAATATCAAACTTTCTTTCAGTACTAGGAGGTTAGTACTGGAGAGTGGGCTCAGTATGTTCTTGGAAACTCCCTTCATCAATCTTAAGGAGATAGATGATTGATAGATAGATAGATAGATATCATTGATATATATCTAATCCCTGAGATTAATCAAGGGAGTTTATATGTGTGTGTGTGTGTGTGTGTGTGTGTGTGTGTATACACACACAAAAACAGATATAATATACATCTATATTTATACTTAGAGACAAAGATATGTAGCTTTAATCTTATAATGCATATATTAAACACATGTTAAAGAAATGAGGAAACTGAGACCTAACCTTGTTAAGTAAACTAAGGTCACGCAGCTAACATGTAACTGAGAGTGACTGATAGTTCACATACAGATGTGAACCCATGTCAGTCTCACTTCAAGTCCAAATTCTTATCTTAAATTTTCTCCTGTATTTATCAATTTTTAAAATGAAATAAAACAATAAAAAACAAACGGCCGGGCGCGGTGGCTCACGCCTGTAATCCCAGCACTTTGGGAGGCCGAGGTGGGTGGATCACGAGGTCAGGAGATCGAGACCATCCTGGCTAACACGGTGAAACCCCGTCTCTACTAAAAATACAAAAAATTAGCCGGGCGTGGTAGCGGGCGCCTGTAGTCCCAGCTACTCGGGAGGCTGAGGCAGGAGAATGGCGTGAACCCGGGAGGCGGAGCTTGCAGTGAGCCGAGATCGCGCCACTGCACTCCAGCCTGGGCGACAGAGCGAGACTCCGTCTCAAAAAAAAAAAAAACAACAAATCAAACCAAGACTACACGTAGACTTGGTGATGTATGAAGACTATTAAATTGGTGTCTTTAATGAAAAAGGTGAATAAATAAGTAAGGAGTATCTTTTTGTCTTACATATAATGTGAAAAATGGACAGTGAAGCCAATTTTATATAAAATGAGTATTTGGGGTTTTTTTGGTTTGTTTATTTTGAGACAGGTTGTCACTCTGTCACCTAGGCTGGAGTGCAGTTGTGCAATCTCAGCTCACTGCAGCCTCGACCTCCCAGGCTCAAGCCATCCTCCCACCTCAGCCTCCTGAGTAGTTGGGATGACAAGCGCATGACACCAAACCCAGATTTCTTTTTTTATTTAATTTTTTTGTAGAGATGGGATTTGCCATGTTGCCCAGGCTGGTCTTGAACTTCCAAGCTCAAGTGATCTGCCTGCCTTGGCCTCCCAAAGTGCTGGGATTACAGGCGTGAGCCACTGTACCTGGCTCAACTAATTTTCTTTTCTGGCACTGTTGATTAATTGTGCTATCTTTCAATATTTTAAATTCATTCTATTAGTACTGAGGAGGAATTTTCAGTGGCCTGAATTCAATCTCTTATCCTTCTCTAGAAGTTGTGTCTGGAAGGTATGTTAATATATCAATTAATTTATTATCATAAACACTTATGACAGTCACATCTTAAGAATACATTATTTTAATTATTCAAAAATAATGCTAGGAATGACCATAGCTAATAGATACTAAATCACTTGCTTTAGTCATTAGTTGGCTAATTTTTCTGCATTTGTGGAGACAGGTTCTCACTATTTTACTCAGGTTGGTCTGAAACTTCTGAGCTCAAGTGATCTGCCTGCCTCAGCCTCCCAGAGTGCTGGTAGCCACCATAAGCCACCATGCCTGGTGTTTAGTTTTCTTATAGATATGAATATAATTAATATGTTTTTTAAAAAGTACATTGCTTGCTCAAATGAGTCATTTACAGAGTCAGCTTAAAGAGCTAAGAGCTTTATTATAACAACAAAACCAACCCAAACCCCTTCTCAATCTCTCTGAAGTAAATTCTCCTTTTCTGTACAACTATATAAGCTTATTCATGTCTAATACAGCACTCATCAAAACAACTCTACTTATTTACTTACAAATCTATCTTATCTATTGATTAGCAAGTCATGGAGAACAAAGACTGTGCTGTATTCATCTTTGTTACTCAACAGAGTGCCTAACACATATTGGTGCTTAGTTAATAAACAGAAATGAAATAAAAAAATAAATAAATAAAAAGTACATTGCATTAGGGAATGATTTGGGAAGTGATGGAGGGGTCCTAATAAGTGATACATTCTATGAACAATCAATATGCCATTTAAAATTATGGAGGAAAAGAAACACTTAAGAGATAGTGAAATATTTTTGTCTTAAAATTCTGTTCAATTAGTAATGCAAAACAAATATTCTGCTAAAAGTTTTATGTTTTAATTAATTGTTTCACTCCTATGATGCTTTGAAACATATAACACTCAATGCAATTTATAACTAAAATTATATATACAATTATGGGAGAAGGCTTAAATGAAACCCTGTATAATCTATTACCTTTTCTTCCTAGCACCAGAGAAGAGTGCCTTCGTGTTTCCTTCATGACAATTTAAAATAAAATGAATAACCCTTAGAATTGAAAATCGTGTTATGTTTTTCGTAACTTGGTTAATTTCTAAATGATTTCAGTGAGAACAATATATGCCATTAATTAAATTATTGAAATATATTGTAGGATTACCTAATAGCCAATCAGTTAGATATGACCACTATTAATATTTTGTTTATAATAGGATTCCAGTTTGTTTCATAAATACACAAAGAAGCAATATAAGTTATTATAAATGATATACTAATGTAAATATGACTTGTCATTTGTGTGTTTTTTCCATTGAACATACTTTACAACTTAACCTATATCAATTGGACATTTCAGTTTTGAAATTTTAACTCACATGACTCATATGAGTTAAAACATGTATACATATACATGTCCATGAAACATAGTATAAACCATTAACATAGTATAATGCTATAAATTCATCAAGGGAGACTGAGGCTGTTTTTCCAGTGACCTCTGGAGAAAGTCCAGATCCTTAATTCCAATTATACAGTCCTATAGGTTGTCAAAAGCAGCATGCCTGTTCCCCAGAGTAAGGGCAGGAGGGAAGTCCAGAGCCTGGTGCTGAGACTATGAAGTGCAATAAAAATCTGGGGTTGGTGATCCTGGGGATGTCTGCTGACGTCATGAGGAACAGAGGATCTGAGAAAAACTGTTCAGTACATCAAATGATCTCTGTTTCTGATAACTTATTTCAAACCTAGGCCAAAAGACAAGAGGTACAGATGGATTTCATCCAAGGTGAACATACTAGAATGAAATGAAAGGGATTTCTTTTTCTGGTAAATGTACAAAGCCTCATTTTTGCACGAATTTTGTGAGGAACATTGATGTGTTTATTGAATAACTGTTTATAAATTGTATCCTGGGGCCAAACATTAAAAATAACAAAGCAGAAATAATGGTGAACAAGATAGGAAAAGACATTACCTTTATGGAATTTCATGTCTAGGGCAAGAGATTTCTTATTTATTTTTATTTATTTACTACTTATTTACTCATAAGTATATGCTGGACATTTATAGGATGATACTCATACATAGCAAGAACACAAACCAGACTGAGTTTGATTCTCTAAAACTCCCTTTGACTGAGCAACTGTATTTATACAGCATGTTTTTTATGAAATTGGAAATTTAGGGAAGGTTCTTAAATTGATGCGGGAAGAGGATTCACTATAACCCACAACAGCACTGGGGCATATTCATGAACACAGTGGGGAAATATAAAAGGATCTTCTCTGCAAAACAACAAAAGGATCTATTTCTACTCCTCCTTGGTTTAGAAGGAAGACTAAGACAAATAATTCCTGCCCACTACACACAATTTAAGCACAATGGTAAGTAATTAAAAATACCTTGAAGGCTGTATGGGTGAGACTACAGAAACATATGTCGATTTACATGAACTTTAAGTCTCAGAACTTTATTATTTTTGAATGGAAATCACAGTTTCATACAGAATATAATTTAGTGCTTATTGCTTTTTTCAGAGCACCTTTCACATCCCTATTCCTTAAGCTGTAGATCAGTGGATTTAACATAGGTATGACAACTGTGTAGAAAACAGAGGCCATTTTGTCTGTTTCCATTGAGTAACTTGAACTGGGTCGGAAATACATGAACAGGAGTGTGCCATGAAATACAGCCACGGCCATCAAGTGGGAGGTGCAGGTAGAGAAGGCTTTCCGTCTGCCCTCAGCTGAGCTCATTTTAAGGATGGTAATTATGATGTAGCTGTAGGAGAGGAAGACAGTGACAATGCTGCACCCCGCAACACAGCCAACGAATGTGAACATCACTATCTCATTAATAGCAATTAATAGTAGGATTGAGGGCTAGCAAGGGTGGGATGTCACAGAAAAAGTGATTGATGACATTAGAATTGCAGAATGACAATCTGAATGTGCAGCAGGTGTGGATTGCAGAATCCACCAAACCTACAACATAGGCAAGAGCCACTAGCTGGGTGCAGATCCTCCTGGGCATAGTGATCGTATAAAGAAGTGGATTGCAAATGGCAACATAACGATCATAGGCCATGACAGCCAACATGAGACATTCCACATCTGCAAAGACTCCAAATAAATACATCTGAATGGCACATAAATTATACGGAATCCACTTTTGGTCCGATAAGAAATCAGCTAGCATTTGGGAGAGACGTGGAAGAGTAGCAGACATCACAGAAAGACAAATTGCTCAGGAAATAATACACGGGTGTGTGAAGTCTGAGATCCATCTTGATCAGTAGGATCATCCCTAGATTGACAATCACAGTTATGCCATAAATCAGGAAGAAAAGCACAAAGAGCCCCTGCTGTATATCCTGTGTACCTGAAAGTCCTAAGAATATAAAGTCAGTAAACACAGTGCAGTTCTTAAGAGTCATCATTCAGATCTGGAAATCCCTGGTTTGAAAGAAGAAAACAGAAGTGAAGGGTTAATATTATCTTACTATATTAATAGTCAAACTGATGGTCTTTTTTCAGTAATTAAAAATAAAGATATAAACAAACTACTAAAAAATATCCAATTTAAAGTAAATCAACAAAATGATCACAATAATATCTCTTATATTTGTATGGCAATGTACAGAGGCTGTAGTACACTTTCACTTATATTAAATCATGCTAATTTCATGAAAACCTATGCATTATTTATTTATGGTGATTTTTGCTACTTCTCTTTTATAGACTAGGAAATTGATGTCCTCAGAGTTCAAGGTAACTGTTCTTATAATTAGTTTGACCAGATGACCAACATCTTATGGCAAGATTATTGTTATTGCTTTTCCTTTCAGTTTTGTAGAAAGGTTGTGATATCTCGTAATAGACAAGCATAGTTAAGTGATAGGTGCAGGTAATGAGTATATCCCATTATGTTTCTCTCATCATCCAAAAATGTGGAGGAGGCAGGGCAATGACGGGTTCTTACATATAACATTCCTTAACTTTCCCAATAACTCCCCAGGTCCTATCCAGCGTTAATAACCAAACCTGCATCCTATTGTCACTGGGATGGAGACAGTCTGTAGTTCACAAACTGCTGGGGTAGGAAGGGTGATGGTTGCATGAAAAGTGAGTAGAAGAGTCACCATGATCAGTAAGCTAGGGTTGACAGACAGGAATATGCCAGGGCTAACTAACTATGCTCTCCTCTGAAAGCTGCTGTTGCTCAGAGGAGATTATAAAGAACATTTTGAAACTAATTGCAGTCATGCTGCAGCACTGGTGGTAGAGAAAGAGACTATGATTTACTATATGGGTCCCTCTTCCCTGATCAAATAGAATCCATATTATCCATTCACCAACAGATCAGACGTGCAAAAATATTCATATGTACACAGTCTCATAACCTCAGACAAATTCATTTCTGAGCTATGTTCCCCATCCCAATTACCAGGAAGTGGTAACAAATTTTTGTTTGTTTGTTTTCTTTGACTCCTCTCTTCTATACCTCTGAAACCTGCTAGACTTCAGTTAAAAATAAATTGGCTGTCTTTGGAGGGCCGTTTTAATGACTGATCCCATTGTTACATTTCATCTAAGCAAATTATATCTTGTATAATATCATACATGTCTCCCTCTGTTCTGTGACATAAAAGAAAAGTAGACTTGGAGATAGATGAAAAACAGAAAAAGAATGACATCTGAAAAATGGTCTAGTGATCAACATGCAGGTCTCTAATATTTCAGTCTAAATTTATTTAAAAAGCTGCCTTTGTAGACACATCTTTAAAAATAATGATTTTCTTTACAATATAACATTTAAATATATGCATGTACAGATTAGATATTGAAATGCTAATAATGTCTAAAAATCTCTACAGCCAGTGCTAGCATTTTATCCCATTCCTTGCCAGCTATGTATATATGTTTAAAATAATAATTAGATTAAAGTTAGTAAAATAAATGTTCACATTGTTTTACAGTCTCCTTTAGTTTTATATGATACTTTTAGTGGAAAATAATAAAAGAACTAAAGAAATATACTAAGTAAACCAGAAAAATAGCAAAAGTTAGTACCTGATTCATAAGTGCTGATTTCTTTACTGGAGGCAATCCCCTCTGCACAAGGGTTCAGTATTGTCTCCTGACCTACCTGGATTATATAAGTAGCTCTGTGTATGACTCTTGTGTATTGGACACTTCCTCTCACAGGAATAAGTGACAAATATAAGAATATGTTTTAACAATTGGTCTTTTATATAGGTAAGGTAATGATTGAGAAAAAAAAATACCGACCATTTAAAGTATTCCTTTTGTTTCTATCTAGCTTATGCTCAATATTATATTTAATTAGCAGTAGTAAAATGACTCTAGTCAACCAGTATTAATCATTTCCAGTTCACTAATCTCTACATAGGCATTTTCTTTTAATTGCACATTATACAAAACAAATACCCCCCTCAAACACACTTAAATGTACAAACAACACTCCTACAATATGCTGGAAAATAAAGATATTAGTAAAAAAAGCAAAAGTAGGCATAATCATATTGCATAAGGATAAGCAGGTTCTGTTGTCTATGGTATTGGATTTCTGCTTTTTAAACAAAAATGATGTCAGAATAACATTTTTATATATAAAAAAATAATATTAGAGGAAAATGCATTCACTTCTATTTATGTACATTAATTTATTTGACCAATCCTCTATTAATGGCCATTTCATTTATATATAATTCTTCATGTCACAGAAAGTCTGATATGACTAAAATTACACATACATAATTTATCATATCCAAGTGTTTCATTAAAATAAGTTTTTAAAAATGGCCTGTAAAAATAAAAGATTTGATCTTAATTAAAGGCAATTTTTGTCTTCTTGCCAAGTCAGGTGTTTTATAATTATCTAATTATCATCACATATTATGATATGTTTCATATATTGTCACATATGTCCTGAGTTGTCTCATACAACCTCATTATATGATGTAGAACCTGAAGCCCAGAGTTATTAAGTAAACTTAGTCTTATAGACATTGTTTGATTGTATCCATAGAAATTGCTCATAATATATCTTTTAATAAAATACAATAAAACAGATCTGTCTTAAAATATAGTGTTCTTAAATACTCTTACAGAATATTGTAATGTGTTTATGTTAAAGTGATGTTAGAAATTTCACAAAATTAACGGCCCATAAACTCTCAAAGATCACTCATGTCACTTCTCAAGCAGGGCAGGAGGATCCCAGAAGTGACTGAAGATAGAAGGAAGAAATAACGTTTGCTATACGGAGAGTAATTTATCTTGTTTATATCAACTAGGCACTTGGTCATTAATATTGGTGCCAATAGAAAGTGATGTGGCAGGTCATTGCATTGAAAAATTGCAGGAAACAAGTAGAAAATAAAGAAATCAGTGCCCCCTAAAGTCGTGCAGCCTGACAGCCTTTAGCATATATCCTTTGTATTGGCCATCTTCTGAGTGGTATTTTATAATGCATTAATCACTACAGTGTGCTTATAAGCTTAGGTTACTATGTGATCTTTAAATGTCTAATGTTGATTGATATTTCAAGAAAATGCACAACAATTATGTACACTAGCTGTAGCTCTTGAGTTGTAATGTGATTAATTTAATTACCACAAATTCTGTATATGCAAAATTTATTCAAACAGCAAAACAGTAAAATGAGGAAGACATGTACAAGTTTATACACTTCAATACTTCAGGTCGTTTCTGAAACCCCACCTGGAGTAAAGAGGAGTCATAGATTTGTTGTTGTTATTTTTATTTGTCTCTCTTGCTTCTTGTTATAGTGTTTCCTACTTGGTTTATATAAAGCTGGAATACTTAGGTGAAATTCATTGAAATTAATGTATTTACAGTTTTTGGAAAAGTGATTTTTAGTGACGATTTTTATTTTTTTTATATTTCATTGTCATTTTTGTGAGACAATCCCAATAGTAAAATGCCAAATGTACTTTTGTAGGAGAGAATATTGAAGCAAAGCTCACACCAACTAAGTAATTGCTAATCGTCTTCCATGAGGTAAACTCAGTAAAGTAGTATTTTTGTTACCCAAGAGTTTCCTGTCACTGTGTGCTTCCCTGGCGCACATTTGGAGGATGTGGAGGTGTCTCTGGTCACTGTGGGGGGTGCATGGCAACATATTCAACTTATGTGCATGGCATTTGAGGTTGGGGCATGGAAAAATACTGAGGCACTGTCTGTATGTATTTTGTGCATGAGAATGAAACTCCTTGTGGAGTGTTTGGTGCAATAAGGAACGCTGAAAACAGCCTCCTGAGAATGCGGTTTGAGTGCTTTTACAAGGCCACAGGTGTCTCACGAACAGACCTCAAAAAAACCATCTATTGGATGTTTGTGGGTTAACAAGCCCTTTCAATAAATACTTGGCAGATGGATGCTGGGGCGGATTCTCTTAGAAGAGCTGTCCCTCGTCCCGCTAAGCTGGAATTGTCTGAGAACTCATTCTTGGCGTTCACTGAAAGCTATAAGCTCTGTAGGTCACCTTCTTCTAATTCCTTTCCAAGCTCACGTTTATTGCCCATGGGTGCTTTTCTCCAGAGATACCAAATTTCCTTAAGCTACACTCTGTTTAGGCAGGATTCAGATTTTAACTTCATAAACACAGCTGCCCCTCCAGACAACATAGTCTAATTCCCATTCCCCATTTACACTAGAGCATGAATATCAACATATTGTGGAAAATTGGATAATTTAAATTATCTCCCAAAGGACTTGCAATTTATTAGAGAATGACTTTTTTAAAATCATGAGGGAAAAAGACTTAAGGTAAAATTTAAGATTTCGCAGACAAACAATTGAGAAAACAAAAACAAAAACGTGTGTATCTAAATGATGTCACGGGTGCCGCTAAACACAATACTACATAGTCAACTGTCTACTTATAAGTTCTTCCTTCAGAAAATAGTTTCCTGGCCCTGAATCATGGGCCATTTTCAAATAAGGTCAGTGCATTAACTTATTTACTGGTACCAAGGAAAACCAGGATCATTAATCTCCTTGTTGCTGAGAACAAGCAGTGACTGCGCTACCAGCATCTCTGTTTTATAAGCGAGATAGCACATTTTTAGTAACATAAAGAATAATGATTTAATCAAATATTCTGTGAGAGTTGTGTGCTTTATTATTTTTACAAGCATAGCTTGAAAATATATTTTGTCCTAGAAACTGCTAGAGATTTAAAAAGTGATTATGAAATCCTGCAGTTGTCCACAATCTGATTGTAAATACCCTTTGTTGTTTGAAAAATGTTTAAAGTATGCATACATTTTAAAGTATACATATATACACACATATATGTACACGTATATACATATTTAAAGTAAATATCAAGTGAATTTTCAGAAATGAAAAGATTTTTGTATCCAAAACCCAGAACAAAAATTAGAACATAACCAGCAATTCAGAGACTGTCCCTGGACCCAAACATAAACTGACATCCAATATGATAGATTAGTTTTATTTCAAAAATCATTTAGAAATGATATCATTGAATTTGTATTCTTGCATGCCTGGGTTATTTCACTCATTTTATGTGCAATTCCTCCATACTGTTGCGTGTAGTGGTAGTTTCTCCATTTTCATTGTTGTGTAACATCCTAATAAACAAATCAAATGTTATTCAACAAATTCCAAATAATGTTACTGTGATTATTTTTGTACAGTCTTTAGGTAGACATATTTACTCAATTCTATTGAGTATAAAACAAGGAACAAAATGTTGGAGTCATAAGATATGCATGTGTCCAGCCATAGCAGATAACTGCCAATTAGTTTTCCAAAGGTGAATGCCAATCTGACTTTTACTACCCATGTGTACAAGGTATGATTTTTCCACATCCACACCAAAACTTGACATTAATATTGTCGATCATACTTATTTTGGTTGATTTTTAGATGAGTCATAGTACTGCATTAAGATTTTAATTTTTATTTCCTGGAATACTAATAGTTATGTAACCAATTCTGTGATGTGTCTATGAAATTCTGAATGCAGAATGGAAGGCCATTTAAAGGGGCTATGCTCCTTTAAAATATCTCGCCTTTCAAGACTCATACACTCTAGCTAACACCATTGTCATTGCAATTTCAGGTCAAGTCAGCCCGGAGACACAGGCAGTCCTTTTGTATAAACATGAAGCCACTCCACGCCTGTAATCCCAGCATTTTGGGAGGCCAAAGTGGGCAAATCACCTGCGGTCAGGAGTTTGAGACCAGCCTGGCTAACATGGTGAAAGCCCATCTCTCTTAATAATACAAAAATTAGCCGGGTGTCATGGTGCATGGCTGTAATCCCAGCTACTCGGGAAGTTGAGGCAGGAGAATCACTTGAGCTCGAGAGGCAGAGGTTGCAGTGAGACAAGATCGCACGACTCCCCTCCAGCCTGGGAGACAGAGTGAGATTTCATCTTCATCTAAAAAAAAAAAAGAAAAAAAAAGAAAAAAAAGAAAAGAAAAAGAAAAAAAAAGAAAGATGAAGACACTCATCATTTTTGTATTTCTTTTAAAATACTGCATATCCAATAGTGGGAATAGGTTTACATGTCAGTAGACTCATAGATGTATAGAAAAAAAATGTGGCAACTGAAAAGTATCTTATAAATATACTAGCATGAGGCTTTTTATTATGGGGGGTGATGAGACGGGACTCATTTCTAGAGAGGAAGAGTCTTGTTAAATACCACAGTAATTTAAAGTTGCATCGAGTGCCTAGTTCATAACATGTTTCTAGAGAGAGATATTCAAGGAGGTTAAAAGTCACTGCCTCTGGTTTCAACACAGGACCTCCCATATTCTGCCTCATTGAGCATTAGTACTGCTCTACTTTAACAAGTGTAGTTATACAACCTATCACCATTATGTATTTCTGTTCATTGCATTACATGTATATCCAAATCTACCATCGTATGTCATTATTATGTTTAGGTATTTCAGTGCCAAGGCTAAAGGAAAGGATTCATGATATAGAAATGTTCCTACCTTGTTAACCCACTACACAAAATCATGGGTGATATCAAATTTGGACAATGCTATTTTTCATCAGTCATTGGTGACTGTGTGATAAGAGAGTGATTTAGAGAGACAGAGAGTGGAAGGAAATGGTGGGAATTGAGGTGGACAAGCTAGAACGGATCAAAGCCTTGTAATAAATGTTTTACCTATTTCTGTAGACTCCCAGGATGGAACTGTTAGATCAGGCTATCTGGCCCAAATCTTTATTCAAGTCATGAATATCCTAAGCAATATTCCCAATAAGCGATTTCTCAACCTTTAATTGTACAAATTCAGAGAAATAATGGTTACAATTAATTAATTCAGTTTCTTCCATTTTTAGACCTATGTTTATTGAGCGTAATACCTTGCCTTTGTTGGGGTTGAAATTTCCTTCTCTTTAGGCAACACTCATTATACATGATTAAAGTAGCCAAAAGGCAAATCAAATCAACCTTTTCATGACATAACTGTCATATGTTATATGGAAGGGAGATGACGTGTTTATATCTTAGCAGCAATTCACTAACATTCCAATCTGTCTGGACTTAATAATATTTCAAAGGGTGTTTTCTACCCTGCTGCTGCTCATAAAACAGATTAACAGAAGTGTATTAGTAAATTGAGAAAACATGTCACAAGTGGAAACCCTCCAAACCTGTTTTCCAAAATAAAGCATTCCCCGTAGTTTTTTTTTTTTTTTTTTGCATCAACATACTTATCTATAGCCTGTCACAGTGTCCCACAAATGAAACCTTGCAAAGCAGAGGTGTGTTTTGGGCTTTACTTACATTCTGCAATGTTTTCACAGAAGGACATTTTACAAGGACAGCAAAAAAACCTAAGACTTTCAATGTCTTTTAGATTACACAATCATAAGGGCTAATGAAAAGTGTCATTGAGTTTTGTATGATTTTGCAAACATGTGGCCTCAGCCATGTTTTCTCAACAAGTTTCTCATAGGGTTTTAGCATTATACATTGGAGCAGAGCTGAATGAAAGTAGGTGAACATGAAGAAAGCACCCACATGAATGCCTGTAACTTCCTATGTAATTACTATGCATGTCTTTGTAGACTCATCACCTTGGTATCCATAACCATTTCATTTACTTAGAGCTTAGTGATGAGAAAACATGGGCACATAGAGGAGGCCTTTTGGAGACACACACTGGGGCCTTTTGGAGCGTGGAGGGTGGGAGACAGGAGAGGATTAGGAAAAAATAACTAATGGGTACTAAGCTTTTTACCTGGGTTTTGTATGATTTTGCAAATATATGGCCACATTCCTAGGTTAGGAAATAATCTGTACAACAAACCCCCATGACACAAGTTTACCAATGTAACAAACTTTCACTTGTACCCCTAAATTTAAAAGTTTTTTAAAAACCTATAAAATATATATTCAAAGCACACATTATACCCTCACTTAACTAGACTTTGATATCTCACAAACATTCAAAAATGTTATACCGTGTGTTGGTTTTTATTATTTATCTATTTTTCCATTTGGTGACCCAGAAACCATGCAGATGCTTTGGTTGGGATGACAGGCATAACACATGCAGTCTTTGAGCAAAGAATGCTTGCAGTCTCACACTCGTGGTGTTTGTTCAATAAACAGACTGATAGATAGAATAGTACCTTTGAAAGAGTATTATATATGAACCACAAGAGGGACATTTAAATAGGGCTAGAAATAGGAAGAAGGGAAGAGAAGCAGAGTGGAAATGAATAGAGAATATCAACTCAACTAGACTTTACTGCATGTACCACTTTATCCTTCAATTCTTACATGTTGGACTTCCTTTCCTCTAAAAAGGCATTGCCCTGTCCACCTCAGGATGTCTAATTTTCAGCCTCTCTATCTAGAATCCTTTCTTCTCTCCACCCACCCATTGGATCTCTATGAATTTTTAGATCTAAAACCAAATGTCCCCATTTCAAAGAATCTTTTCTTTTCTTCACTCTAGTTAGACATTTTGTTTATGCTTACAGTACCCTGCCTTTTGACTTCATGGCCTTTTATAGTTTATTATGAATTATTGGTTAGTTTGATTAATTAAATGTTTCCACTATATTCTATGACTCACTAGTACAGAATATAGTGGATTCAGCATGAAATGCAAAGTACACAGCAATGTGAAAGGCATGTACTAAACACTCAATAAGTCTTAGAAAAATTACTGCCTGTCACGCCCGTAATCCCACCACTTTGTGGGGCCAAGATGGGTGGATCGCCTGAGGTCAGGAGTTCGAGACCAGCCTGGTCAAAATGTTGGAACCCCATCTCTACTGAAAACACAAAAATTAGCCGGGCCTGGTGGCAGGCACCTGTAATCCCAGCTACTCGGGAGGCTGAAGCATGAGAATCACTTGAACCAGGGAGGCGGAGGTTGCAGTGAGCCGAGATTGCACCACTACACTCCAACCTGGGCAATAGGGTCAGATTCCATCACAAAAAAAAAAAGAAAAGAAAAAAAGAAAAATTACTCTGAAATATATATTAAACAAATAAAAATTTGCCCCACTAACTCAAAGACTGGAGCATTTTTCAAATATAGAGAAATTACCTTACCTAAATTGAAAACACATTAAAAAAATAGCATATTTAGACAATTCCAGAGAATTGCTAGATTGTGGCTGAGTAAAATATGTATTATATTAAATTAGGGTATTTGAGACAACTTTATGTTATAATATATAATTTGAAGAAAACACCAGTATGAATATGCATTTTTGTGTGTATAAACATGTATTTTTACTATTTCCTTAAAATAAAATTTTATTTTTCAGTTTTTTCAGGGCCTCTTTCACATCCTTGTTCCTCAGGCTATAAATCAGGGGGTTCAACATGGGAACCACAAGGGTGTAAAACAATGAGGTCATTTTATCTTGATCTAGAGAATAGGAAGAACTTGGCCGGAAATACATAAAGAGCAGAGTTCCCTGGAAAATTGCAACCGCAGATAAGTGGGAAGTGCATGTAGAGAGAGCTTTGAACCTCCCCTCAGCAGAGTGTATCTCCAAGACTGATAGGATGATATAACAATAAGAAATGAAAACTCCTGAAATGGTACTCAGTTCAATAAAACCAAAGACGGTGAATAACACTAACTCATTGACCTGTGTATCTGAGCGAGAGAGTAATAAGAGAGGAGGGATATCACAGAAGAAATGATTAATCTCATTAGACCCACAGAAGCATAGGCGGAAGGCCAGTGTCATATGTATCAAAGCATCTGCTATTCCCACCAGATAAACCCCAGTCAAGAGTAGATAGCACACTCTGCTAGACATGTTGACTGTATAGAGCAGGGGGTTGATGATGGCCTTGTACCGATCAAAGGCCATCACTGACAGCAGTAGACACTCAGAATCTGCAAAGATACAGAAGACCAAGAATTGCAGAGCACAGCCATAGAAGGGTATTGACTTGTTCTTGGCAAGTAGATCTACCAGCATCTTGGGCCCAGTTGCAGTAGAATAGCAGAGATCACAGAAAGACAGATGACTGAGGAAGAAATACATTGGTGTGTGAAGTTGGTAATCCATTCTGATTAAAACTATCATTCCAAGATTTGCTGAGAAATTAATGATATAAACAGCCAAGAATACAGCAAATAGGGTCACTTTCATCTCTGGGTTATTGGTAATTCCCAAGAGAAAAAAATCAGTTAATGAGGAGCAATTTTCCCAGTCCATTCTTCCTTGTTCTTGTTTCAAACTGCTACAGAAATCATTACGAGAATGACAGTCTAGAACTTGACTTTCCAAGATATCAAAAAAAAAATTATCTGTAAAGTAGAACAAGATTTGTTTATGTAAATTATCTTCTTTACCCTCAAAAAGTATCCCAGGTGAGTGTCACTTTCAAAGAGGCATTATTACTGTATTAAAAAAAAAAAACCCTAAAAGTGTCTGCCAAAGGAAGTTGATCAACTTTGAATCTAAACTTACATGCAATTTCTGACATATATCATTTGTCTTTGCTTCTATTGTACAATCTAAGGCAGTCAATTTGATTAAACTGAAAGCTCAGTACAGATCCAAAAGGATGTGAAAGAAACACCATAGTTAGAGTCACAAGGGCCAGAACATACCGGACTAAGCATCTCATATATTTGACAAAAAAGGATCATATTTATTGCATTATTCAAGAAATATATACATTTTTCTACCACTGACAGTGATATTACATGTAAGTTAATAAGAGAAAATTATTATGGTACTGTTTTTGATGTGGTGTCGTTAGTGCTTACTGGAAAAGAAAAATGTTTTATTTAACTGTTACTCATCATCACTGGTTTGTCACAGCATTTATAATCCATTTGGATGACTTATCTGGTTCTAAAAAACAAAAGCCAAATGTAAGTGGTAAAAGAAGTGTGAACAACAGACTACTTATATTTGCTTATAATTGACTTTTTCATTAAAATCAAAATGTGAAGAACAATAAGTGTTTCTGAAATATATAGGCTTCTGTTGCTTGTGTTATATGTGCACTTACTCTTGTGTGTGTGTGTGTGCCTGTGTGTGTCTGTTATATGAAAATTGAAATGTGGGGTGGGTCTGATTGTTATTTCTTCTAGACTTAAATATTATGGCATGTACCTTAAGAACTTGAATTTTCATAAATTAATATCTGTAATGTGTTACCTCTATTATTATTTGAGTAAATCTAGAACCTATCTTAAATTTACATCTAAAATAATATCACAGGTACAGTGATTTTTTAAAGTAATGATTTACTTATGAAGGTTGATTAAAATATAAATGGGTGAAATCTATATTATCCTCTTACAATGACAAGTAAGGTCAGTCAAATTCACACAGATCCAATAAGAAAATATCATTGTTTGGCCATTAGATTCCAGAGGTGCTTCAACTGAGTAAGCATCTATAAAATCATTCATTTGTAAATTCCTTAATACATGATTTCTTATTTTTCCAAAATTTTTCCTCTGTCCTTTAAATTGATCATTCAGAAACCTACCTGAGATGAGCAAGTCTTTCTGTCCTTACCTCTGGTATGTGAACAATAGGCAGATCACATTTTATTTTTACTGGTGACTGTTGGGACATAAATCTCTCAAGCCTCTGCCTTCACTCCTTTATGTTATTCAAACATGATTAATTAGATTCCTAGTTCTGTATTTTCCCCAGTGAATGCTGCAACTAGTTTACCAAAGGCTCCATTTTTAATTTTTCAGCTTTATCACCAAATTGACCAATGTTAGAAATTTATCAGAATTCATTTAACAGTATGCTTCATGGTTATCATGAAATAAGACAGCCAATGAAACTTGAGTAGATTTTCAACTTAATGGTTTTCTTGTCCTTTTCATTGTTCATCCTGTTTCTTCCACTTCTGAAAATCTCCTTCATCTCCCATTTAGAAATAAGATAATCTAACATGCTGCTTTTTTTCATTAATCATTGTCTGAGTACTTTTTCCCCAACTACAGTGACAACTACCCTCATTTCAATTATTTTATGGATGTACAACATCCGTCACATTGAACACACTTTTTCTTAATTTATATTTTATTTGTCTGTTGGCCTAGGTGTCTCTCTACATTCCCACAATCTCTAGCACAGAGATATGTGTGAGTAATGTATGTTTTTAAATGTGATTGTGTGATGTTAAATATTTTCTGCTTATTAGGCTGGTAATGTTCAACCAAGAATAAACATAAACAAACTTTCAGGTCTGTTTCTCCTAATATAGTTGATATGTACAAAGATGATTATTTAAAAGAAAACGTGGCCCTGCGCGGTGGCTCAAGCCTGTAATCTCAGCATTTTGGGAGGCCGAGGCGGGAGGTCAGGAGATCGAGACCATCCTGGCTAACATGGTGAAACCCCGTCTCTACTAAAAGATACAAAAAAATTAGCTGGGCGTGTTGGCGGGCGCCTGTGGTCCCAGCTACTCGGGAGGCTGAGGCAGGAGAGTGGCGTGAACCTGGGAGGCAGAGCTTGCAGTGAGCTGAGATTGCGCCATTGCACTCCAGCCTGGGCAACAGAGCGAGACTCCGTTTCAAAAAAAAAAGAAAACATGTGTTGAGGCCATGCTTTTTAAGAAAAAAGCTAAGTTCTATTTATTTCCAAAATAAGTTTTGTGTACAATTATTCATGGCAGTCCTTTGATACTTGGAAGTTACTCAAAGTGTGAATTTTGTGTCTACCCCATTGACTCCCCTATGGCTGCTATGTATTGCTCTCCTCTCCGTCCCTATTTTAGTCAACTATTTTAGCCTTTAACTTCATGGGACAGAGAGCTGAATCCTGCATTCACATTGTTCTGGCCATAAAATTGTCTCTACTCTCCCTTCTAAAAATGTGCTTTTAAAGCACCTCTTCATTCAGGCCTGGGCTTGTGGAGGAAAAGGTATGAATTTAAATACATTCTACAATGGATCGTGTATCACATCCCATGTGTTTTCCATATACTAATTACTATATCTCCATATATCTTATCATACATTTCAAATATTGTCTTATGTTTCCATCTCTAACAACTTCATTATACAGATACCAAAAGTGAAATTCAGAAGTAAAGAGTAAACTTCTGGAGTCTCATAGGCATGAAGTTTTCTTTCTCCAAGCACCTGCTCTCAATATGTTTCTGACTACAGTGTAATGAAAAAAAATTTCTCTGTACTGGCCATGTTCTGAGTGGTGTTTTATAATATGTGATTCATTGCTGGATACTTACAAGTACAGATTTCTATGTGTTCTTTAAAGTCTACTGTCGACTGTACTGTACAAAAATGTATTCCCACTGACATTCTGTCTTAAGGAAGTTAATCTATTTTTTACTACAAAAAAGTGAAAGAAAAATGTGTAACTAAAATAGTCAGTGATAGACATAAGCCAGTGTATCCATATAAACACTCCAGGTGATTCCTGTGTCTTCCCAAACCTTACCAGGGAGTAGACAGGGGCATAGCCTTTTCTCAAAATTCCTATAAAGCTAGCCTACATCTGGCTAAATTATTAAAATATTCTTGATTGGGGGAAAAGTACTTTTTAGTATTAAATTTCAGTGACTTTTTATGCTTTATTGTCATTGCTTGGGAGATGGTGGTGTTACAAATATGCTAAATTTATGGCTATTAGACATGTTGTTAAAGACAAGTCCAACAAATTAACTGTAATAATTTTCCACCCATTACACTAAAGACACTGATACATTTGTGCTGCCCAAGAGCTTTGTTACCATCATCTACTTCTCTGGTCCATACTTAAAGGAAATGGACGTTTAACTTGATTCAAACTCATTTTCATATCATGTGATTACATGTTTACAGGAATGACAGGACTCTTTAGGTTATACTTTACTTAGGTAAGACCTAAATTAGCTTCCTAAACTCGACTGTCCCTGGACATGTAGGCTAAATTCTCTTCAACCCTTTTCATTAAAACCTGAATCTAAGTGGCTACATTATTATAAAAAGTTGGATAAAGTTATTGGTATTTAATTGAAGATGCTTTCTTAAATTATGGAAGAAAACAACCTAGTTGGAATTCACATCAGAGGTAAGCAACTGAGGAAAAATATCTGTATCTAAATTTGTTCCCTGGTGTCACCAGTGCTCCGAAAGATAATACTCTGTAAGTAACTGTCTGCTTATAATCTTCTTCCTTCAGAAAAACCTGGTTGTTTGTCCCTAAGTCATAAACCATTATGAATAAGTTTAGTGCATGGTACTGTCCCAAAAAGAATCAGGCTCTCTTAGCTTCCCTTTTACAGGAAACAATACTAAAAGTTCTTAAAGGCTGAATAAAACATTTTTGTTTTATTTTAAAAAGAGAAATTTTAATAAATAAATATTTACTGAAATATTTTATGAAAGTTGCACAACTTTTTCACAAAAACATGCTGAACTCTATTGAATACAAGGAATTACTAGTAATACAAATTTATAGTAATAACATTCTGAAATTTCTACAGTCTAATGGTGAACAGATTTTGCTTTTAGAAAATCTTTTGATGTGTAATATACATACAGATTATACTTAAATGATAGGTATACAACTAGATGAATTTTCAAAAAAAATAAAAATACTCCTGTAACCAGGACCCAAAGAAAGAAAGAAAGAAAGAAAGAATATTACCAGAATCCCCCAAAGTCTTCTGCATGATCCCTCCTAAGTTACTACCCTCCTACTCCCAAAGGGTAATTACTTTCTTGATGTTTAAAACAGTAAATTACTTTCATATTTTTTGAACCATATATAAATGGATGCCTACAGTATGCACTTTTACTTAATGACATATTTATGCAATACATCCAATTTGTTTCATACAATTGTAGTACATTCATTCTTATTGTTGCATATTGGAGATTGACATCCACCTTTTCTTGGACTTTATTCTGATTCAAGCACACTCCTGCCATGATGCTGTTCCAGATATATCTAGTGTGCAGGTAAAATTTCCAAAAGAACATGGATTAACTGAGGAGATATAATGACCAAAGGAAGCAACCCCATTGAGTTTTCTACTTCTATACTTCCCCATGCTATGTCTCCGAATCTCAGAAAGAATGTCATCCTAGAGAACAGAGTATCATTGCTCAACTTGGGATTTACAGGAAATCTAAAATGTTTTCACTCAAAAGCATTTTACAATGGCACCTAGCTAGCCTTAGATATTGAGTGACTTTTAGCCTGTGTAATTGCAGAAAACATTTGAGTGTTTGTGATTCTCATATGGTCCTTCAAATGCATATCCATGTCCCTGTTTACCACAGAAGCCACTTGCAGTACTTTGATAATCAGAAAACTAGAGAAGAATCATGGAAGCTATTAAATATCTTATAATAATCTCAATAAGTACTTTAATTATTTTTGAAATAATTTACACTTGCCTTTAATATGCCATTGCCTTTAGCATCCACAACCACTTATGTACTTAATTATAAGATACAAAACATATATTTGAGATACATACTAGACAATCAATGATTTCTTTTTGCCTTATGATAAGCTTTCAATCAAAATTAACTTTTTTTCTTATTTCTTTACTTATTGATTCAGACAGGCTCCTGGGTTCAAAGGGGTAGGTCTCTGGTGAAACTTCAACATCAAGCCAGGGATAGCCTGAAGACTGGGGGCCAGGTGGCCAGTTCCACCGACCAGAGTGAAAACTTATGGTGCTTTTCCTGGGCCCGCCTGTGGCCACCCATGGACCAATCAGCACACACTTCCTCCCCTCTGAAGCCCATAAAACCCCAGACTCAGCCAAACTTAGGCAGATGATGAGACAACCTGCCTTCAGAGAGGAGCTACCCACTCTAGGTCTCCTCTCTGCTAAGAGTTGTACACTCTTGGGGATGACCTGCCTGTGGATAGGAGCTAACCACTCTGGGTCTCCTGAGAGCTGTACTGTAGCTCAGTAAAGCACCTCTTCACCTTGCTCACCCTCCAATTGTCTGCATACCTCAATCTTCCTGGAGGCAGGACAAGAACTTGGAACCTGCCGAGTGGCGGGACAGAAAGAGCTGTAACACAAATAGGGCTGAAATGAGTTCAGTGTGGCCCCCCAACCACTCTCCACACTGCAAGTGACAAGAAGGAGAGAAGAGCTGCGGCCCTTCAGGGGGCCCAGAACTAAGGGCTGTCCAAGCCAGTGCTGTGACACCTTCTTTGGGGCTCTTCGGTTTCTGGTGTCTCCATGCTTCTGGCTGGTACCATGTTCCCCTCATCCAGACATGGGTGCCCGCAGTAGAGGCTGCTTGTGGTGCATCTGAACCAGCAACAGGCTTCCATGGATCCGGCACCTGGAGCTGCCCATCCTGCTGCAGCAGCTGGCATGCCTGGCAGTGTGCAGTGGCCAGACTCCATGCTTGTATGCTCACTCATCCATCCCCACTCCAGCCTGGCTCACCCATGGCAGGCATGGGATCTGGGCTGGTAGTGCGAGCCAAGTACAGCCTGCCAGGTCAAGGCAGTGGAGGGAGCCCAGCAAGCCCAAGCAAAAGCCTACTTGGGCAAAGGTGCCACCAGCAACAGAGGTCTCTGGCTGGCGAAATAACACCCCAGGTATCCCATGACATAAAGACAGTTGACAAAAATATTTAAATGTTCACAGTTAACTTTCATACTTCAGACATTGTTTTGTCTTAAATGTTCTTCATCCTATTTCTCAGAAGCTGTAATATTGATTGATTATTTTCCTTTGTCATTATTTCTTTTGTGTACCTCTGAAATATGCCTGTTCTTGATTAAAAAGAGTTAGCGGACCTTGTGAGACAAATTGAATTCTATTGAATTCTATGTTCCACAGTTATCTCTGACTAAAACAAATAATATCATATCCAATACCATACAAGTACCTCTGTGTTCTGTGGTTATGTAAGAAAAATAGAGTTGTAGGTAGATGAAGAAAAAATAAGAATGACATTTGAATAATGATCTAGTGATCAATACGCGGGTCCTCAAAATCTTGGCCTAAATTCATTTAAATCTGTTCCTGTGAAAACGTATTTAACATAATTGTTTTCTTTATAGAAAGAGGACATTTTACATAGATATTTATATGTAAACTATGTAAAATATATGTACATATATGTAAAATATACCCATATATGCACTATATATATAGAGTAAGAGATTTAAAACAGTCTAAAAGATTTTGACCAACTCTGCAACTACTGCTTACATTTTATTGTATGCCTTGTTCTCTAGGGAGGTTGTTACATGTAATTGAAATGAAAAGCAGCCTTGGAGATGCTTTCTGTATTAGCCATGTTCTCAGTTATATTTTAAAATATGCGAATCATGACGTACTCTAATAAGTGCAAATTGCTATGTTCATTTAATATCTACTGCTGATTGACATTTCAAGACAATATATGATAATCGTGTACAGCAGGGGTATATTCTGAATCTGAATGCAGCTAATTTATTTGAAATTAAGCCAGTAAATGCAAAATATGAGGGCAAAAATAGTAAGATGTATTAGACATGTACCAGTTATGCCTTGAAGTACTCCATGTAACTTTTTACTTTTTCTGAAACTTTATCTGTGACTTAATAAAAACACATGGGTTTTTTCATGTGTGTGTGGATGGAGCGGTGGGTAGGTGTATGTTTTCTGTTTTTTTCTTTTCTTCTTTTCTTTTCTTTTTTTTTTTTTTCAGATGGAGTCTCATTCTGTCACCAGGCTGGAGTGCAGTGGCACGATCTTGGCTCACTGCAACCTCCGCTTCCCAGATTCAAACGATTCTCCTGCCTCAACCTCTCAAGTAGCTGGGACTACAGGCACATGCCACCATGCCCAGCTAATTTTTGTATTTTTAGTAGAGACGGGGTTTCACTATGTTGGGTAGGTTGGTCTTGAACTCCTGACCTCGTGATCCACCTGCCTCTGCCTCACAAAATTCTGGATTAAAGGCATGAGCCACCATGCCTGGCCGTTTTCTGTTTTTTGTTTTGTTTTGTTTTGTTTTGTTTTCATTTGTTTATTTATTGTTGTTTTCCTCCCTTGCTTTCTATAAAGCTAAAACACCCATTAGTCTAAAATCAGTAAATTAGTACATTTTTAACTTGGGGAAAAGGAATTCTTAGTGATGATTTTTTTTTAATATTGCATTGTAATTTCTTGTGTGATGATACCAATACTAAGATAACAAATGTACTCCTGTGGGAGATACGGCTGGGGCAAACTCAAACCACCCAAGTAGTTGCTAGTAATTGTCCTAACAGTTAAACATCAAGAAACAGATGGATTTGTATTACCCAAGAGCTTTACAAACATTGTTTACTTTTCTAGTATGTATTTGGAGAAGATGGAGTTGCCCTTGGTCACCTTCTTCTGATTCTGTTTTACAATCTCATTTTTTTTACCCCAGATGCTTCCCTGTCTTCAGGAATGCTAAATTCTCGCAGGTTAATTTTCTTTAGTCAGGACTCAGCTTTAGCTTCTCATATACAACTGTTTCTCCAGGACATGTGGACTCTCTTCCCCACCAATCCCCCGTCCTGATTTAGAAATTACCATGCAACTTGTGGCCTGCAAACCCTTATTAATGTAACTACATTAATATCACAGGTTGGATAAATTTATTTAAGTCTCACAGGAATTTGTGTTTTCATTCAGAATAATGTTCTCACATAACTGATAAAAAAAAATTGTCTTTAGGAGAAATGTTATATATCAGACCCAAGTAAGTAAGGAAAAAAAAGTATATATATTTAAAGCTTCTGTGGTGACTTCCATTACCATGGAAGCAATTGTCTTCCTAAAAACCACCTTCTTTGGAAAACAGTTGTCAGGCCCTAAAGCATGGAATGTTATGAAACAGAGTTCATTACATGATACTGATACCAAAGAACATTAAGTTTCCCTGCTACTGTGAGTTGATAAAGACATTGTTGTTCTACAAGCAGGACAGAACTTTTAGTGAAATAAATATTAATCATTTATTAAGATATTCTATAAAATTTGGGCACTGCATTAATTTTACAAACATATATTGAACACTTAGGATATACACGAAACTGCTAGATTAAAAAAAAATCCTGCAGTAAAATAATATCTTAGGGAATATACTTTGTTTTGGCAAAACTTTTTAGGAAATAACATACGTATAGAAAGTTATTATTTAGAAAATATACTCCAAGTACATTTCTAGAAAGGAAAATATTTCAGCACCCAGAACCAGGCCAATAAAAACCAAAATTACTAGCATCTCATAAATTGTCTCTGCATGCATTATGAATTGATGTCCATATGCTGGGTAATCTCGTATGTTTTTTGAAGTATGTAGTAGTAAAATCAGTTTTTACACTGTTTTTTAGTCTGGCTTCTTTCACCCAACATTACGTTTGTGAGATTCCTCCATGCTGTTGATGTGGAGATAGTGCATTCATTCTCATTGTTGGTAGCATGCTGAGGTGAAAACATAACATAATGCTATTCATCTAATTTGGAGCAGGGATCAACAAACTATGACCCATAAATTCTTTTTGGAACTTGGAAATACCAATTTATTAATATATTATCTATGGATTTTTTGTGATACAAGGGAAAACCTGAGTGATTATTACAATTTATGATCTGCAAACCTTAAAACATATAGTATCTAACTCTTTTTTGTTTGTTTGTTTGTTTTTGAAATTTTAAAGCTGGGTGTCCAGGGGAGACATCACATGTTGGCAGGTTCCGTGATGCCCCCCGAGCCGTAAAACCAGCAAGTTTTTATTAGTGATTTTCAAAAGGGGAGGGACTGTACGAATAGGGTGTTGGTCACAGAGAGCATGTGCTTCACAAGGTAATAGAATATCACAAGGCAAATGGAGGCAGGGCGAGATCACAGGACCACAGGACTGGGGCGAAATTAAAATTGCTAATGAAGTTTCGGGCACGCATTGTCATTGATAACATCTTATCAGGAGACAGGGTTTGAGAGCAGACAACCAGTCTGACCATAATTTATTAGGCGGGAATTTCCTCATCCTAATAAACCTGGGAGTGCTACAGGAGACTGGGACTTATTTCATCCCTACAGCTCCGACCATAAAAGACGGCCGCCCTCAAAGCAGCCATTTTAGAGGCCTACCCTCAGGGAGGCATTCTCTTTCTCAGGGATGTTCCTTGCTGAGAAAAAGAATTCAGTGATATTTCTCCCATTTGCTTTTGAAAGAAGAGAAATGTGGCTCTGTTCCACCTGGCTCACAGGCAGTCAGAATTTAAGGTTATCTCTTGTTCCTTGAACATTGCTGTTATCCTGTTCTTTTTTCAAGGTGTCTAGATTTCATATTGTTCAAACACACATGCTCTACAAACAATTTGTGCGGTTAATGCGATCCTCACAGGGTTCTGAGGTGACATACATCCTCCTCAGCTTACAAAGATGATGGGATTAAGAGATGAAAGTAAAGACAGGCATAGGAAATCACAAGGGTATTGATTGGGGAAGTGATAAGTGTCCATGAAATCTTCACAATTTATGTTCAGAGATTGCAGTAAAGGCAGGTGTAAGAAATTATAAAAGTATTAATTTGGGGAACTAATAAATGTCCATGAAATCTTCACAATCCACGTTCTTCTGCCATGGCTTCAGTGGGTCCCTCCACTGGGCGTTCCTGACTTCCCACAACATCTCTCCCTTTCTTTTTATATAAATGTGCCATGGCGATGAAGTCTTGTTCGTTCTCCCGATTTTGACACAGGATTCTTTGACTGGTCCGGCACACTAAAAACAAGCCGATTAAACAGAGAAACATAATTCCAAAATTTTCTACAGTGGAGCCCCCAGTAGACTTAATCCAAGTCGTGGAGTTTAATCCATGAAGATTTTCTGCCACCTGATCTAATGCCTCAGCTCCAGTCACAAAGGATAAGTGAGCTTGAGAGGCTTCAAAAATTTGTTTCTTTAATTTAGTTATGTCCAATGATAAATTATCTTCCCTACCCAGAAGGTGTCCTTTGACCATTTCCCATGAATGATCAGTCTCGTTATAGGCTGTGATACAGAAATCCGAAGTATTCCAATCACACTGAATTTGCATGCGTATCTAACTCTTTAAGGAAAGTGTCTCCAACTTCTGATCTAATGTTTTGATAAAATATTGAGTTGTTTTTAATTTTACTGCTATTGCAAATAATGCAGTGGTGAAGATTTGTGTACACGTGTTTAAGTCTTTCATTTATTTCTCTTGGTTATAAATCTAAGAATGAAATTTTTGAGTCATAGGGCATTTGTTTGTCCGTCTATAGTAGATACTGCCATACAATTTTACAACATGAAATGTCAATGCCCATTTCTACTGTCAACATGTAAGATTAATGATTGTGCCAAATTCTCACCATTGCTGGATATTTTGAATGTTTTCATTGTAGCCACTGTGTAGGTGAGTCACAATACTCATTGAGGTTCTAATTTTTGTGTACTTAAGCATTAACAAATTTGGAAAATCATTACTATGACATGTTTATGAAGATCCAAATTTGAATAAAAGAACAGTAAAAATTGATGTGTTTAACTGTTTGGCCTTCTGAAACTTGTATTATCTTTATTTATTTGCTTATTTATTTTTTGAGATGGAGCCTCACTCTGTTGCCCAGGCTGGAGGGCAATGGTGTCATTTTGGCTCACCGCAACCTCCTCCTTCTCCTCAGTTCAAGCGAATCTCCTGCCTCAGTCTCCCAAGTAGCTGGGATTACAGGTTTCTGCCACAACACCTGGCTATTTTTTTTTTTTTTTTGGTGGAGAAAGGTTTTGCCATGTTGGCCAGGCTGGTCTGGAACTCTTCACTTCAAGTAATCTACCAGCCTTGGCCTCCCAAAGTGCTGTGATTACAGGTGTGAGCCACCTCACTCGGCCTGAAACTTGTACTATCTAACTGGCATTTTTCTCACCACTATTTTAGGTCAAAACAGCCTAGAGGCATAGTGTGATTCTTTTGTATAAAAATGAAGTGACTCACCTTTTTCCAACTCATTCTAACACTGGGGATGGGTTTTCACAGCAGTAGAATCATAATTCACAGAAATAGACTGTGGTGCCTGGAAATGTCATTGGAAATAATCTAGACAAAGTCCCTTTTTTGTATAAAAGAGGATTGATATTTTCATTCTTATGTTTAGGGATTAAAGTGGCAAGGATGAAGGAAGGACTCCAGATAAACATCACCCATCCACACAGTCACTATTAGTAATATTGTATTTGAACAATACTATTTTCCATCAGTCGTTGGTTGATTTGAATGAAAAATATGATTTAGAAAGAATAAGAAGGGAAGGAAAGGATGAGGATCGAAGTAAACAGTCTAGGATAGATTACAGCTTTTGATGCTGTATTCCATGTTTCTGTAGAATCCTCAGATAAAAGCCACTATAAGCCAACTGCTCAAGATTCTATTTAACCCATGAATTCCCTAAAAATTTTCAAATAATGTTTTCAGTCCCATTCATTCAGGGAGATGAAGTTCACAATTAAGCAAATCAGTTTATTGTATTTTTTGGAAATGCTTTAATAGGTTTTAAAATTTCCTTCTCTTTAGTTCACATCCACTATATCTAATAAAAGAGGCCACTGTGTAGCTCAAGTCAGTCTTCAGATGTAATAAGTAAGTGACATGTGAGAGAGAAATGGGCTAATTAGATGACATGTTTACATCTTCTAAATTATTGACAATCAACTAATACTTCATTTTATTTATGCTTTAATGTATGTTAAGCAACGTTTTCCACGATGTTGGTACTCATATTAGTCTCTTTAGGCTGCTATAACAAAATACTGTAGATGGGGTAGCTTATAAACAACATACATTTATTTCTTACTGTTCTGGTTGTTGGAAAGTTAAAACAGGGCACTTGCAGATTCAGTGTCTTATGAGAGGTCCCTTTCTGTTTGATAGACAGCCCCATTTTTTGCTGTGCCCTCCCATGGCAGAATGGGCAAAGGAACTCTCCAGGCCTGTTGTTTGAAGGTGTTAATCCCATTAGTGAGAGCTATACCCTTATAAATTCATCACCTCCTAAAACCATCACTTTGGAGATTAGAATTTTAAAATATGAGGGAAAAAATTACAGTGCTCATAGTCACAATTGTGAAAGAATACAGGTTAATTAAGAAAACGTGTTACCCTTGAAAGCCATAAAGCCTTTTATCTAAAGCAGGAATTATTCATAGTTTTTATTTTCCTCCACCATGATACCTTCTCCTGACATGTCCTAGTGTCTCATATGCCACACTTACCACATAGGAATTTCTTGGGTTTTACTTTTATTCTGAAATATTTTCACACAAGGACACTTCACATTGGCAGCTAGAAAACCTAAAATATTCAGTGGTATTTAGCTTCTATAACTGCAATGAATAGTTAAGAGTGTCCTTGTCTCTTATACATCCATTCCAATATAAGGTCATCTTCATGTTTTCTCAACAAGCTGATTCAGTGCTGTAGTCACCAGGAAACAAGAACAGAGATAGATGAAAAGGGCAGATATCTCAGACATACACAGATAAATGTTCATGCGCAAGCATTGTAGGTTCTATAGTAAAAGCAATTTTATATATATATATATATATATATATATATACACATATATATACACACAAACATATGCACACATATAAATATACACATATTTATTCGAGTTACATACCATATCTTCTATTAATTTTGTTATGCTGACATCTAATAAACACTCATAAATATGGTGTTTTCATGTATTTATCTGTTTTCCTATTTTATGTTACCGAAATAACATTTATGTAGGTGCTTTGGATAACAGGGATGAAACTCAGTGTTCCATACTTGAGCAAAGAACACTCACAATCTCATACTGGAAGCAATGATTTCATAAACAGGTGATATTAAAATAATGCCTTAAGGAATTGTTTGTTTGTGAACCACAAAGAGGGTCATTTTAGGAGGGCTGAGAATGAGAAAGAAGAAAAGGGAAGCTTCCTGGAGAAAGGGATGAAGGAGGTGATAATTGATAATTATAGCACACAGATGTACTTGAGCTGGGCCCTTTCTATTGCCATTTATAACCTAGCCAGAAATGTAGTTGAGTGGGGCCCTTTCCATTGCCATTTATAACCCAGCCAGGTTGGACTTCACTTCCAAAATGACCTGGACCTGTCCACCTCAAGACCTCTCTAATTGTCAAACCCTCTGCCAAGAATCCCTTCCTCTCCCCAAGTTTCATCTTTTTCAGATTTGAGACAATATCTCCATCCCAGGAAGACTTTCTCCTGCACATTAGATTTAGACATTTTGCTGTTGGATTATAACCACAGTCTTTTTATATCATTTTTGTTTCCAGGTGTCTTGTGAATTATTTGAGTGCTCAGTTAACTAGTATGTGTTACTTGTCACTAGAATATAAGTATAGAAACTACTGAATTTGCCACGAAATACAAAGCACCTAAATATGCATAAAAGCAATGAGTATATACTCAGTGAATCTTAGTATAATTGAAATAATCCTGAATTTAAAAATGAGCAAATCAAAATGTGGCATAAGGTCAAGAAAATTTTGCAAGAGAAGTACTAAATATTCTTTCAAGGCAGAAAATGAAGCAGAATATATTTGGGGAACTGTAATATTTTCTTATGATTAGACTAGTGCACATACTCATTTTATTACATTGAACTATTTGACACAACTTTGTTTCCCCACTTCCCCCAGTACCTGGCAACAATTAATCTATTTTCTGTTTCTGTAGATTTGCCTGTTCTGGGTATTAATCTAAATAGATCATACAATATGTGGCTTTTTGTGTCTGGCTTCTTTCATTTAGCTTCATGTTTTCAAGTTTTGTCCATTTCGTAACATACCTCAAGAAATTAAAACAATTTTAGCTTCTTAAACAGGACTGCTCATTCAGACCATGTAGACTGGCCTCCCCAACCCCACCCCCATTTAGAACCTGAAATTATGCATCTACATTAATATTACAAGTTGGAAAACCTAATTGAACTTCCACAGAGATTTGTGCTTTCGTTGAGAATGGTGTTCTTACATAAGGAAAAAAAATGTCTTTAGGACATTTATTGATGGGACTGTATTTTTCCAATTTTGTGTTCTTGATACCTTTGTCAAAGACAGTTGATCATAGATTTGTAAGTTTATTTCTAGATTCTTTCTTCTGTTCCATGGGTCTGTGTTTCTTTTAAAATGCCAACACCATGCTGTTTTGATCACTATAGATTTGCGGTAGATTGTGAGATGTAACACTGTGACACCTCCAGCTTTGTTCTTTTCACTTATGATTCGTCTGTCCATTTGAGGTCTTTTGCATTTTAATATAAATTTTAAAACTTTTTTCCTCTTTCTGTGAAGACAGCCATTGGAATTTTGATAAAGATTACATTGGATCTGTAGATCGCTTTAGGTAGTATGGTCCTTTCAACAATATTAATTCCTTCAAATCACGAACATGAGATGTCTGTCCATTTATTTGTATCTTCTTCAATTTATCTCATCAATATTTAATAGTTTATATGTAGAAAACTTTCAATTCCTTGGTTAAATTTATTCCAAAGTATTTTATCATTTTTGATACTATGGTAAATGGGATTGATTTCCTGATTTCTTGTTTGGATAGTTTGTTATTAATGTGTAAAAATGCTACTGATATTTGTTATGTTGATTTTGTATCCTGCATGTTTACTGAATTCATTTATTAGTTCTACCAGGTTTTCGTGAAGTTCTTAGAGTTCTCTGTATATAAGATTGTGTAGTCTTCAACTGAGAAAATTATTTTTTCTTCCTTTCTGATTTGGATATGTTTCATTTATTTTCATTTTTCTTCTTTTCTTTTCTTTCTTGTGTGTGTGCATGTGTGTAGGTGTGTGAGTGTGTGTGTGTGTATGAGTGCACCTAATTGCTCTGGCTAGAAGTCCCAGTACTATGTTGAATAGAAATAGTTAAGAGTGGGCATTCTTCTCTTGCTCCTGATCTTATATGAAAAGTTATCACCTTTTTGCCACTGAGTATGATGTTGGCTGTGGGCTTGAACATATATGGCCTTCATTATGGAGATGCCTTCCTTCCATGCCTACTATGTTGAGAGTTTTTATCATAAAATGATATTGCATTTTTCCAAATAATTTTCTGCATTTGAGATGATAATATATCTTTTTTATTCATTCTGTTAGTGTGTGTATCACATTTATTAATTTGTAGACATGCACCATCGACATGAACCATCTATGGAATAACAAGGATACATTTGCCTGATCATCATAAATGCTTCTTTTAATTGCTATTAAGTATTGATTTACCAGTGTTTCATTGATGACTGCTTCATCTATGTTAATCAGGGATATTGGTCTATAACTTTCTTTTCTTGTAATGTAATTGGTTTTGGTATGCAGGTAATGCTGGCCTTGTAACATGAGTTTGGATATATTTCCTCCTCTTTGATTTTATGAAAGAGTTTTAGAAGGATTGGTATTAGTTTTTCTTTAAACGTTTGGTAGAATTTAGTAATGAAGCAATTAGGTTGTGGATATTACTTTAACGCACATTTTTTTTATTACTGACTCCAGATCTTTATGTGTTATTAGTCTGCTCAGATTTTATATTTCATCATGACTTGATCTCAGTAGATTGTATGCGTTTAGGAATTTATCCATTTCTTCTAGGTTATTCAATTTGTTGGCATAAGTTGTTCCTAGTAGTCTCTTATGACCCTTGATATTTCTGTGGTATCAGTTGCAGTCTCTCCACTGTCATTTTTTATTTTATTTATTTGAATCTTCACTCTTTCTTCTTAGTCTAGTTAAAAGCTTGTCCATTTGAGATATATATATACACATATACTCACACACACATATATATAATTGTATAAATTTAAGAGGTGCAAATCAAGTTTTGTCACAAAGATATATTGCATAGTGGTGAACCCTGGGCTTTTATTGTAATCATCACTCAAATTGTGTACATTGTACCTATTACATAATTTCTCATTTTTCACCCTCCTCTCACCCTTCAAAATCTCCAGTGACTAATATTACACACACTATGTCCACATGTACATATTAATAAGCTCCCACTTATAAGCGAAAACATGCTTTATTTGACTTTCTGTTTCTGAGCCTTAGACAAATTATAACCTTTTAGCTGGAGGAGGGTCTTGCTTTGAGTGATGGCTGTTGACTAATCAGGGTGATGGTGGCTGAAGGCTGGTGTGGCTATGGCAAGTTCTGAAAATAAGGCAGCAATGCCTTAATTTTTTTGTTTACCCAAAAGTAAATCAGGAGCAGGTTGCTGAGTTTCTGTGTACTTGTGTGGTTTAGATAGTTCCTCTTGGTATTGGTTTCTAATTTTATCCCACTGTGATCCAAGAAGATACTTGATATGATTTCAATTTTTTTTTATCTATTGAGACTTGCTTTATGACGAAGCATTTGGTCAATTTTAGAAAATGTTCTGTGCACAGATGAGAAGAATGTATATTCTTTGGTTGTTGAGTGGAGTATTCTATAGATAGCTATTTGGTCCATTTGGTTGTGAGTCCAATTTAAGTCCAGAGTTTCTTTGTTAGTTTTCCACACCAATAATCTGCCCAGTACTGACAGAGGGGTGTTGAAGTCCCTGACTGTTATTGTATGGCTATTGATCTATTTTCTTAGGACTACCAGTATTTGTTTTATAAATCTGGGCTCTCTGTTGTTGGGTGCATATATATTTAGGAGAGTTAAAACTTATTGTTGAATTGAACCCTTTATCATTGTGCAGTGCCCTTTGTCTCTTTTTACTATTGTTGATTTAAAGTCTGTTTTATCTGGTAGAAGAAGAGCATAGCAAATCCTGCTCTTTTTAAATATAAAGATGGATATAGTAAACACTGGAGGCTCCAAAAAGAGGAGGGGAATGGAGTGGGGCAACTGTTGTAAAACTACCTATTGGGTTCTGTGCCCACTATTTGGGTGATGTTCTCATTAAAAGCTCAAACCTCAGCAGAACCCAATATACCTATGTAAAAAACCTCCACGTGCACCTCCTGAATTTAAAATTTTTTAAAACATGAACAAATAAAAAATAAAACTCATCACTTATTTGGTCAATAGATAAAATTTAAAAAAATGGGCAACAATGAAATTTGCTGAATAAATTGATTCTTCTTTTCACAAAAGATTTCTACAAGCTACTAGCATGTGATGCTGTTTGACAGCATTTTACCCACAGTAGAATTTTCAGAATTGGAGTCAATCCTCTCCTTGCTGCATCTTTATCAATTATGTTTATGTAATATTCTAATATTTTGTTTTCATGTCAGCTACATTGAACAGACTATCATTTTCATTACCTCTGCAGTTGCTTCTTTCACTAAAGTCTTGAGTTCCTCAAAGTCATTCACAAAGGTTGGAATCAATTTCTTCCAAACTCCTGTTGGTATAGATATTTTGGCTTCCTTCCATGAATCATGAATGTTCTTAATGGCTTCTAGAATGATGAATTATTTCCAGGTTATTGGTTTAATTTTCTTAGATCTATCAGAGGAATCACAAGCTATGGCAGCTCTAGCCTTACAGGCTGTATTTCTTAAATAATAATACTTGAAATTCAAAATTACTCCTTGATCCACAGGCTGCATAGTAGATGTTGCCTTAATAGGTATGAAAAGAATATTAATCTTGAGCACCTCCATCAGAGCTGATGAGTGACCAAGTTCACAGTCAAACAACAGTAAAATTTTGAAGGGAATCTTTTTCTTTCTGAGTAGCAGATCTCAACAATGGGCTTAAAATATTCAGTGACTCATGCTATAAGCATATGTGCTATCATCCAGGCTTTGGTATTATACTTATAAAGCATGGACAAAAAAGATTTACCATAATTTTTAAGAACCCTAGGATTTTTAGAGGGGTAAATGAGCATTGGCATCAACTTAAAGTTGCAGTTTCCTCTAAAAAGAGATCAGCCTGTTCTGTGAAGGTTTTATGCCAGTCATTGACTTCTCTCTAGCTATAAAGGTCTTAGGTGATATCTTCCAATATAAGGTTGTTTCCTCTATATTGAAAGGATGTTGTTTAGTGCAGCCTTCATCAATTAACTTAGCTGGATCTTATGGATAACTTACTGTAGCTTCTGCATCAGCTCTTGCTGTTTCACTTTGTGCTTTTATGTTACGGAGATGGCTTATGTCCTTAAACCACAGGAATCAACCTCTGATAGCTTAAATTATTTCTTCTATGGTGTCCTCACCTCTCTCAGCCTTCACAGAATTGAAGAGAGTTAGGGCTTTGCTCTGGATTAGGTTTTGGATTAATGGATTGTTGTGGTTGTTTTGATCTTCAAGCCAGACCACTGAAATTTTCCCCATATCAGCAATAAGAGTGTTTTATTTCTTATCACTCATGTTCACTGAAGTGGCATTTTAAATTTCCTTCAAGAATTTATCTTTCTATTCACAATGTGGCAGTTATCCTGGCACAGGTTTTCAGCCTAACTTGTCTTTTGCCATGCTTTCCTCACTAAGCTTCGTTATTTCTAACTCTTTATTTAATGTGAGAGATGTGCAATACTTCCTTTTGCTTGAACATTTAAAGGCCGTTGCAAGGTTAATTGCAACTTGTCTACTTTTGATATAGTTGTGTCTCAGGAAATAGGGAGGCCAAAGGAAAGGGAGAGAGCCAGAAGGTCAGTTGGCAGAGCAGTCAGAATGTATATAACATTTATCAATTAAGTTCACTGTCTTTTATGGGTACAGTCCATTGTGCCCCTAAATAATGATAATAGTAACATCAAAGATCACTGATCACAGATCTTCACAATAGATAAAATAATAATGTAAAGATTGAGACATTGTAAGAATTACCAAAATGTGACACAGAGACATGATATGAGAACATAATGTTGGAAAACTGGTGCCAGTAGACTTGCTTAACACAGTGTGGTCCTGAACTTTTAATTTGTGAAGAAAAAAACAATATCTGTGAAATGAAATAAAATGATACATGCTTGCATAACTGTAAACTTTCATATTTCCATTTCATAGCTTGTAAACAGTTATCATACATAATAATGATTTGCAGCACACAATATTAGTTACAGAAATACATTTTGTAATAATACACATACTTCTACACATCCTTCAATTAGAATTTTCAAACACACATTTCATGCATGGTTTTCTACCACAGTACTGGATTGATCTCCCTATGAGGATACAATTACGATAGTGTAATAAATTAGAGATAGTATTCTTTTTCTGAGATTCCAGCAAAGAACGTTCCTCACATTCAGTAACACATTGGTGTATTTAAAAACAAGAGATAGTAAAACAAATATTTTGCATTGCAATTAACCTATATTGCTCAAGCCACTAAGAAAATGTTTCCAAATTGCTTTATGATACATTGGATGTAGAAAGTTATCAACATGTTATCACCTGCATTTTAAAAAATATTATTTGGCTTTTTATGATTGCTTTTCTAACATTCTAGCCTCTATCATCTTATTTTATTACATGCATTTTAATTAGTGTGAGATATTATAAAAACATATCTTATAACAAACATGTAAGTGTATATAATGTCCAGGCACTATTCTCAGCTCTTAACTGTATTAACTCTGTTCACCATCAAACAATCAATAGCATATGTGCAATATTCATCCCATTTTACAGATAAATGAGGCATAGAAAAATTAAGCAACTCATTCAATATGCCACTCACTAGCCAAGTATAGATCTGGCATATAAATCAAAGCAATCTGACTTATTTTCTTATCCAGTTATCCAGTAATCTACACTTATAACTGAGATATTCTACAGATAGATACGCACATGTACATGCATGCATACTTTTCTGAAATATTTACTATATCCCTTAAGATGGCTTGATGAAATTGATTTTAGCATAAATCTCAAGCTAGTAATAACTGAAAAGTAGTATAACTAGCATTTAGCAGGAACTTTGAAACTTTTAAATGATTTTAAAAATATTTTAGGACTATGAAATTCATTTGGCTGCATTAAACAAAGTGCTTGATAAAATCCCTAGTGTGAGAGGTTGTGTGTGTGTACAGGTAAGGTTGTTGTAAGTTCCCAATTACAGTATGTGATTGAGAAATTAGATGTATCTTGAGATGCTTTATCTCATGAAGAATCTACCTTTGATCTTAGAACTTTCTCAGCTGCATCCTTTACATCTTTATTTCTCAAACTATAAATCAACGGATTCAGCACTGGAATGAAAATGGTGTAGAACACTGAGATAATTTTATCAGTGTTTGGAGAATACAGGTAGCTGGGCCGTGAGTAAATAAAGAGGAGAGTCCCTTGGTAGATCGTCACTGAAGTCAGGTGAGAGGCGCATGTAGAAAAGGTCTTCTTCCTCCCACTGAAAGAGCGGATCTTTAAGACTGAGAGAAGAATGAAAAAGTAGGAGATGATGATGATGATAAAACAAATGATTTCCACTGAGCTGCCGTATGTGGAGAGGAGCCACTCATTAATTGTTGTGTCAGTGCAGGATAGTTTAAGCAGGGGAGGGAGGTCACAGAAAAAATGATTAATAACATTTTTGTCACAATATTTCAGAATAAAGGCAAAGGATGTGTGAACCAGGGAACTCATGTTGCCTCCAAGGTATGACAAGACAATCAACCGCATACAGATGCCCCTAGACATCACAACTGTGTACAATAAAGGGTTACAGATGGCGACATAGCGATCATAGGCCATGGCGGCCAGGATGAAGGATTCTGTATCTGCAAAAGTACAGAAAAAATAAAACTGCAGGGCACACCCATAATAGGAAATAGATTTGTTCTCCGAGAGGAAATTGACCAGCATTTTGGGAACAATGTCTGAGAAATAGCAAAGGTCTACAAATGATAGGTTGCTAAGGAAAAAATACATGGGGGTTTGAAGGTGAGGATCAATCCTGATCAACAGCATCAATCCAATGTTCCCTATCAGAATTATAGCATACAATGTCAGAAACATGAGGAACAGGACAATCTGCAGTTCAGGGCGAGTTGGAAAACCTAATAGAATAAACTCAGTGACCAACGTGTAGTTTCTATCTGTAAATTCCATCTTCTGTGTTGTTTTCCTTTTATGAGAATTTCTAATACCCTACAATGCTATAATGATGAAAAAAGAAAAATAATTAGATGTAATTATAAAGTTATTTTATTGTTTAAAAATAAATAAATGGCAATAAGATAAAGAAAGCAAGCTCAAACTTTTTTGAACTATAAACTCTGAGAAATATATTTCAGAATTTAGTAATATCATATTTCATGGTTGCAGGTTATATTTTATTTGATTACTATTTCTTCCATTGAACAGTTGACTTCCTATGTGCATGGATCATGTCTGATTTGGCTTACCATTTTGCACCCAAAATATTAAACAATTACTGGCCCAGAGTATTAAAAAAGTAATAAATTAATGAACAGACTGATGATCACATTAAGTAAAGAAAATATGTATATTATTAAAAATGGACTGACTTATAGAGTGTTCCTTTGAATAAGAATTTTAGAACATCTGCTTCTTGTTTTCAGGATTTGATAGATACCGGTATGCTGTGTCTCTTGACTGAGTAAATAGAGTGGTGTGATGAAATATGCCGGCTAATTTTTTTTTTACTGTAAAGCAGAAGCTTTAGCGAAATAAAAACAAATGTCAGTAAATACCAGCTCTGAGGATATTTTTGACAGAAAAGAGCTTAGTGTAATTCCATAAACCCTGTTCACATACTAAACTAAGCTGATAAAATTAGTTAACTACTTGTTTCAATACTTCTGGCATTTATCGAACTCCTTGGCTTCCTGGAAATGCTCATTAAACATTAGTGGACTGACCAAGTACAGTCAGCAAAACATTTAGTTATATGTTAACTTGCAATTAAATAACATTACTATATATGGCATCATCACTGATTAAATTTTATAAGTAAAGAACAATTGTTGCATTTATTGTTATGGTAGTATAATACAAAGTGTTGAGTCAGAAAAATCTGTTAAACACTGCTTCTGAGGTCTCAAAATACTTACAGAATTATAAAAATTTTTAACTTGACTTTGAAGTACAAATAATTTGATTTTGACCATGAAGGATAGACTTGGAAATACGTAAAAAACAAAACAACAACAAAAAAAAGCAAGCAAAGCATCAATCTCTAAAGTTCATGTTGAGAGGGCCAAGATGGGAATTAAAAATATTTGAGTCACTGCCTCATTTACATAATAGATATTATGACAATGACAGTGCTAAAGACAATTTATTTATCTCATGTAAGCAATAAAACTACCCAATGACATAAACACTGAGAAGCCTATTGATAATCAGAAGGGTTAATCACGTGCTCAAAGTGCTGCCTTATGTTATCACCTCAAAGCGTGTGAATGAGATGCAGCACTACAGCAGGACAGTGGTTATTCTCATTTTGCTTGTTTGAAAATAGTCAAGGTATTTAGACAATATAAGACATCACTTCGATTTAGGAGGAATTTGATTAGATGCCCATCTTGGCTGCATGGGGGCTGTGTGACCTTGTGCCACTTAATATAAATTATCCTAATCTATACTACAACAATGATAATAAATATCTCATAGTGTTTCTGTATGGATTAAATAGGGAAAATGTTCTGCCCCCCCTTTCTGTCCCTTTATCTACCTACTTATCTTTCCATGTGTCATTCTTTAGGGAGACTGACATACAGTAGATAACATCAAAAATTAGTTTTGATTGCCACGCTGCCATTTTATTCTTAGATTATGACTAGAGCTACCTGTCAAATTTTACTAACAATAATTGTCACCTGTATAATGCTTACTATGTGTAATGCAATATTCTTAACACTTCACCTATAACTCATTTAATTGTCACCAAAAAACTAACAAAATTACCATGGAGTTACTATCATTATGATCTTTTTCTTACAGATGAAGGAAACTAAGAAAGAGAGAATTTGAGATTTAGGATGTGATGGAAACAGGATTAGAACCCAAAATTCTGACTCCAAAGCCACATGATACACTGGTTCTCTATAAACAGGATTCTTTTTATTAGCTCCATATTTTGGATGAGAACATTAATGCTTAGGATAGTATCTCAAGGTCATTCAACATGTAGTTGACCAGTGCAATTCAAACTCAGGGGTGTATGAAATCAAAGCCCATGAAAGCAAGCATGAGGACGGGGAGAATATTAACAGTATGACCATTCTATGGTTCGCATACTTCCCAAAAATGTGGGGCATGTATTCTTGGCAACTTCACATTGGTCATTCCTTCTGATAGTCAAAAAATTCTATTTAGAGAAATATTAAAAGGAAGAGAAGAGGCATGAGGATAGTGGTAGGAAAAGACAGTGATTCTTGGATTCTTCTTTTTAAAAGGGAATTAACAAATAAATCTTACTAACATACTATGATTCAATAAGTTCTTTCCAAACATAACAAAACAATCTTATGTTATAAAATAAGTTAATTCAAGTTATAAGGTAGGTAGATATGCTTTGGTTCTCCTATCAGTAACAAAAGGCTTATTTAAACAAAAGACATTTTAGACCCTGTGGAAGCTATATCAGAAAGGGTGATAAAAGATAGATTACCTTGTCAGTACAATATTGAATGATAAATGTACTTTCAAAACTATTTGTACTCAAATCAGTGGTTCTTGCTCTCAGACCAACAAAAGTTGATTTTTTTTTTTTTTGCACGATTAAAGCCAGTCCAATAACCGCAGAAGCTACTTACTGAGGAAGGAACTGTTGCAAGTTGCTTAAGGGAATAATTTCACCAATACAACCAAGGGCTTTTACATGAATTCTTATGTCACTGGGGACCTAGTAATTGAAGGATTCCAAGCATGTTAATTTCTGAGAGACTCCTAGAGAATAGTTACTAGGCTTATTGCCAATGTAAATATTTTCTCTAGAAACACATTCATAATTTTCATGGAAATGCTGTTGTGTTAATTTGAAGAGGTAATTTTCATTTTCAGTAATATCGAGGAGGTTGTTTTTAACACTTGGCATTCTACAAAGGACCGTCTTTATTGTGGAGGTTCTTTACAAATAGTTCAAATATTTAAAACTGTAACTACTGCCATTTAAATTTCTCAAAAACCACATGGAAACTCTAAAAATATTATTTATGATTACTAGTACTGAAAATTAATGAATTATTTTTGTGGCATTGAAAGCTTCTGTAGAGCTTAGTATCACCAGATGTTTTCTGACAAGACAGAGGACTTTATAACACCTGGTACCAAAATGTATCAGGACAATGGCAAGGTCATCTCAGTAAACACAGGTTGTCATCATCAACTTCATTATTCTGATATACATTGTATAAGATAGCTTCATTCAAACAACTGTAGTTAATAGCTAATTGTAATTAGTGCAGCCCCACCAATTATAGTCTCTTTATTTTCACAGTATAATGCAGGTTTATTTATCATGCCTATATCTGGAGTATCACAGAGGAAATCTTCTTAAAACTTATATCCATTGCAAAAATCCATTTATGAACCTACTAAAACATGGTCAGAAGCCTCAGCTTAATTATTTTTTAGGAAAATAATTTCACAACTTCAATCCACTGTGTACATTCTAACTATTGAAAAAAAATCTCAGTTACTGTGAGCTCAAATCTGAATTCATATTTCCTCTTTATTTGTGGTATGATCCTTCTATATAACTGCACACAATACTGAACTTATTTTGTGATTTAGGAAAATATAGTGATAGGGTTGGTGAACTGAAAGTTAACTCTATAAAGAAAAAATGAGAGTTTGTCATTTTAGTATAATATGCTCATACAAGGAATTTATCATTTAAAAAATTTTGAGGTAATTATCATTTTGGTAATGAAGTTATTTGAAAAACATTTTAAAAATTTACTCCGTAAATCTAGTTTTTTGAATATACTTCTTTAGAAATCACAAATTTAAATTTTAAAAATTAATTATTTATAATTTCATTCATTAAAGGAAAAAAGTAACCGTTCTCTTTTGCTAATCCTACTCTTCGGAAAGGAAAGTGATAATATAATATTCTAATGGTTGAGTGATTTATGAGAATCTGTGGGCAGAGGTCTAAGCCTGTAAGACGGTTGTAAGAAGAGACTATTCTCTCCAGTATCTGTAGCGTTGTCTCTGCAGAAGAACACTTGCAATCCCTATTTAATTCTTGGACTTTGCACTACTCTTTATTGTGATTCTAAATTTCCCTGACTTAGTATCCAAGAGACATGGAGGGCAAGGAAAGATGGAAGGGAAAATTTCACATGACATAAGTCAATTGTACTTATTATTCAAGTATTCTAGAAAACCACAGGTTTTAGGTATATAGACATAGTTGAGATTTTTCTTTTTAACATCAGATCAACTGGAAGATAGAAGTACGATAGTGGCTGCTAGTGTTAGGTCTGAGAAGACACTGAAGATAATTTGGCTCTGGTACATGTAACATTATATTATCTGATATAAGCTAATCGCATAGTCAACTGATCGGGTTTATAGTCAACTGATCAGGTTTCTGCCATGTATGGATTACTGATAGAAGAAAGATACATAGTATATACATAATTAAATAGCCTCTGTTATCTCTATTTAAAAAGATATTTTAAAAATTATGAGACTACCACTTCAGGTAGGATATAATAATTAATTATAGTTTATCACTTCCACTGAGAATTTACAGGGAAAAAAAGGAATAAATTATAATTATCTTTGAGACCTGAAACTGTCTATCCCTATACACAACCTAGAAGGTAAGAATGAAAAACACACCTGAAGTCGCATTATTATGACTCTGAAGTTCCTTTATTTTCATTCGCACACCCTAGTTTTTATTTATTTTTTTTTTAGAGATTTTGCCTAGGCAAATATTTTGGCTGCTCATTACAAATATTTTCTGAACACCCCATGGATTATTCAATGAGAAACATCAGCAGAAAGAAAGTTTATTCCCTAGATTGTTTCAATTCCTTGCTTCAAAGCCCTTGCCTTCTATTTCCATTAACTTGGACTGCCATATCTTGATCTAATCCAATCAAATCTTTGCTTGGAAAAACTCAAAACAAATGTCCAATTATTAATAAATTATTTTCCTGCCTTTCCTTACCCCAAGACACTGTCAAAACTTTTTGAGGTTGTATTAGCCCTTACCAAGGTAAACAATAAATGGCTTTCTTATGAACTTGTTATTTTGATGATATTTGGGGAATTAGATTTTGCATCATATGTATACACTCATCACATGTACTAGAATGAGTATAATTCAAAAAAAGGTATAACTAGTTAGAAGTCAGCTGAAGACCTGCATATGTCCCTGCAGGTATTTATCAATTATGAGTATGAGTAAGAGATAGAACGTGGGTTTGTCCACAGTTTTTGGCAATTATGTAGTGCTGAAATACCTAAACTGATGGGAGGATCTCCAACAAATGAAGGACTTCCTATTCACGATATTTTAAATTCAAATTTTGGCATGTAATAAACTAAAGACATAGAAAATATTGGAAAAACAAACTGGTATTCTCTCAAATCTCTTAGTGTTAAGGACATAAAGAACTGCAGTGGATTTGCATTCTGAGAATTAAAGAAAATATAAAACCCAGGAGGAATTGTGACTTGGGGACACAGCCAAACTATATCAGTTGGAGTCTGTAAAACATGCAGAAATTGCGGTAATTGCATGGGATTAGAGTGCACAAACTGCATACATGTGGGGCCTCAAATACAGTTATCTTCCTTCCACAAGATCTGCCAAATTTTAAAGCTGTGTGTAATGTTAGATTGAAGATGCCAGAAACCTCTGAAAACACAAGAGTGGACATTCTTGTAGTCTCTTCTTGTTGAGGAGCCATAGAAAGTCCAAGTTCTTAAGTGCAAGCTGGAAGGAACATGCCTTAGACATAGGGTGAACTGGAGGTATACCGCACCTTACCGAAACAATAAGTATGATCAAACCCTAATTGTTTTCTGATCGGATTAAGTTTATCAGCCTTAACTTCATTACAGAGAGGATTGAACGCTCTGGTGAAAGAAATCTTCGGGAATATCTTTTTTTTTTTTTTTGTAGTCACTATTTGGCATGCAATAAGAAACAAATTACTAAATATAAAAATAGGCAAGTCCTTATAATGAATAAGCATGAATTTAAAAAGCTGAAATGCATGTTGACTCACAAATTGAAATTGGCAAGCAACTTTTTTTTGTTTTTAATTATAATATATTTAAGAAAATGCTATTTTAAAACAGAATTGGACAATGACAAAAGAGTGAAGAGATCCCCAAAGAAATTGGAAGCCATAGAAAAGTGTTAAATGGAATTGAAAAATGCAATATCTAGAATGAACAACTTATTGAATGGATTTAACAGTACATTGACTATAAGAATACAGGGAACCAGATGGAAAGTTAGGTGAGTCAAGAGGGTTTTTATTAAGATATTGAAACTTGCAACTAATGTGGTATAGAAGGTTATCAGAAAAATATATGCTGCTATCCAAATACTTAGAATACCCACCTTGAACCAGCCTTAAGAAACTGGTTTTCTATAGCAATTACTCTTTCACATTGGGACTGCTTAGGAATAAATGATCTCAAAGTGCTGTCCGTTTGCTACATAACCTACAGAGTTTTACAATTTCCACACACTAGATGGCACCAGAGACAATTACATAACCACCTGTTTAGTAAACAAGTTTATATCCTGAAAAATCCCCTAATTTTTCAGGGTTTAGGAGATATTTCTTGTAATAAAGTTCTCTTAACAGTATTCTGCTTCTCACTGTGTATACGTGTGTGTATGTGTGTATATATATATGTGTGTGTGTGTGTATAGATAGATTTATTTTCTTTTAAGAAACTCTTCTATTATTTTAATAGCCTATCACTTCTATTTTACGTGATACTCTTATCCTCAGGTCCCAGTAAACCATCCTCAAACAAAAAGACCCAATTCTATACAAGCCCTGCCCTTGTTATCAATACCTCTATAGGATGAATTAATTTTCTGATGGACTAGTTAAAAGGTAATTTAATTAAAATTGAAATTATATTCTAGATACATATCAAACTAGTAAAAGGTAAGGGTAACTTAACTATAAATCAGTCCTGGAGAAATGGTCAAAGCAAAATCTAGTTCACATGAATTAACAAAATACCTTGTAAGAGGACTCTTCTTTTGGAAATATGGCACCCTATGATACTCATACCAACACTCTTACTGGAAACAAATAAAAATGTTGTATGAAGCCATTTTTAATTTATTCAAAAGCATGAAAGAACTGACAAGATTATTATTACCAGACAAATCACTGGAGAAGAAAATATCTTTAACACTTTACTATGTATAGATAATACAATATTTAGAGTCAGTGGGTAAAGGAATCCTGATTGAAACTGCAACAAAGCCTAGAGAAAATGCAGCTACAGATTTGACTTAGCACCTCATTCTAATAGCTAGTCAGAGAAAGGTACATGATTCTGAAGACAAATATTATCTACCTGAATCTTCACTCTTGTTTTACACAAAATATCAAGCATAAAATGAAGAAAAATATAGGAGATACATATAGAAGCAGGAAATGTTCCCTAATAAAGAAAAAAATTTTAATATGATAATAACACAAATAATTAAGATGTAATAATGATTAGATAAAGAAGTAAAATATAACTGTGATAAATAAACTAAAACAACTAGAAAAAAGTAAATAGCATTTGTTAACAGGTGGAAAATTTTAGCAGATAATTAAAAACTAAAAGAAAGAACCACATAGAAATTCTAAAAGTGAAAATAACATGAGGAATAAAAAGTTTACTTAATAGACCTAATATTAGGCTGAACATATTAAAATAGATAAATAAATACCTGTATATCAGTCAATATAAGTTCTCCAATCTGATGCACAGAGAAAAAATAATAGTAAACTTAAAAAGATCCCAGATCCAAGACTTTAATTATCTGGCAAAATATCAAGAGACTTAGCACACATATAATTGTGAGAGTGGGCAAACTAATATTGTTAATAACGGTTGAAGAAATAGTATCTGAGACTAAAATTGATAAAATACATAAATTCTTGGTTCTAGGATTCCCAAAGTACAGAAGGGATAATAATTGCAAAATAAATCTCATCTAGGTAAATAATAGTTAAGAAAGGGAAAAAAGCAAAACAACAACAGCTATAAATAGACCACCATCAAATGAAACAAACATTAAAATGATAGTTGATTTCTCATCACAAAATAATGGATTTTGACACATCGGAATTTCAACTTGAAAAGATAAAATTTAAAACTTAAACTATTATCCTCTATTCAGAAAAATATATATCCTTAAAAACTGTCTCACAAGCATATTACCAGCCACCCAAACTTCTATGGTGAGTTCTAAATATTTTAGCAGTAAACAATTTCAAATTATGAAAAATCAAACAAATAGTATATTTTCATACTTGTATGAAACCAGTATAACTCTAAAACCAAAACCCGAGAACTTTACAAAAAGAGAGAACATTACAGTTTAATGTACTTTCTGAAAGTAACAAATTGTCAAAAACTTAGAGGATGGAAATAATACCTGTTTATCAACACCACAGTTACTGTGGGGCAGGAGTCTTAGCGCAGCTTAGCTGGGCCCTCCACAAGACTTGCCTGGGGCTGGGCATGATCTCAATGCAAGATTGGGAAATGATTTATTTCCATGATCCATGAGATTGTTGGCCAAATTACCTTGCCATTGTAGAAATAAGAGCCTCATTTTTCTGAGTATTGGTTGGAGGATGTGGCCCTCAGTTCCTTTGTTACTGTTTGTTTGTTTTCCGGTTTTTGTAGCAGACAAAATTGCCCAGGCTGGAGTGCAGTGGCTAGTCATAGGTGCAATCACAGTACCCTCAAACTCCTGAACTCAAACCATTCTCCCACCTCAGCCCCTGGAGTAGCTGGGACTACAGGCAAGAATCGCTGGGTCTGGCTTGGCCCTCAGTTCCTAACCGCTGTCCTCAGTTCCCTGTCTCATTGTTCCCCAACATTACTGCCTTTTCCATCAAAGTCAGCAGGAAAAGAAGACCTGCTGGCAGGACGTCTTAAAATACACAATGCAAAGAAGTCATTGGTCTGCTACAATTGTTCAACACCCAGCCCCCCAACCCCCCGCAAATTTTCAGTTTTCATGGCCTGCTAATAATTGCATATGTGTGTGTGTGTGTCTTGCTCTTGTTATCTGGGCTCTTGCTGTTATTGTTCTCTAAGTCATCCTTTCTAAGAAAGCAGTTTAACCTTTTCACATTTAGGAAAAAATAGTGCAGCTCGCTGCCCGTGCTCATTTAATTTTACATAAACACGCTCTTCGAGGCTGAAGCAAATCTGACTGATTTTCAACGTGAAAATAAAATATAAAAACTGTTCTTGTAGTTATTTATAAACAGAATTAACATCAGAATCATCCGAATTATCAGAATCCTATTTCTTGGGGGATAGAACTAAAATGAACATCAGTTTCCTACAGCTGCTATAACCAAACACCACCAACTTAATGGCTTAAAACAATAAATCTCTTATTTTACAAGTCTACAGACTAAAAGTGGGAAATGAATTTTACTTATGGAAAGTCAAGGTGTCCACAGTGTTGTGTTGTGGCCAGAGGGTCCAGGGGAGAACTTGTTCTCTGCTTCTTCCAGCTTCTGGTGAATACTGGCATTCCTTGGCTTGTGTCTTCATCATTCTCATCTCTACCTCTGTGACCACATTGCCTTCTTCTGATTTTTATGGGTCAAATTTCCCTCTGCAACCCTCTTATAAGGGTATTTGTTATTATATTTAGGGCCTATCTAGCTAGAGTTAGGTATGTACAAATAAATGTGATCAGAACTGACTTTATTTACTTATGGGCAAAAGCTTTTCAAGCAGATGCAAACTCTGTAACAGTCTTTTTAAAATATAAATCCTAGTGATAGTGGCTTCTCAGAAATTTATTGCTTTCATATATGAAAAGTTCATTAGAAAAACATGAAATACTAAAAAAGAACAAGTTTAATTATATCAAAATTAATAGGGTTATAGCCCAAGCAACTATTACCATTTTCTTTACCAACAAAGAATCAATATTTATTGTTAGCTTTTACTTATTACAATGATAACACAGGTTAACTGTAGTATACTGAAAATTTTCTATAAAACAAAAAGTAAAAGAATATTTTACTCTATATTATCTATAATGAATACTATTATATTTTCATTCATCATTTTCTTTTTCTTTGATTTTATTTTAGATTCAGGGATACATGTGCAAGTTTGTTACCTGGGTATATCACATGATGTTGAGATTTGCAGTATTAATGGTCCCATCACCCAGGTAGTGAGCATAGTAGGCAACAGTTAGTTTTTCAAACCTTCCCCTCACTAGTATTTCCCGGTGTCTATTTCCATCTTTATGTCCATGAGTACCCAATGTTTAGCTCCTACATATAAGTGACAACATGCAATATTTGGTTTTCTGTTCCTGCACTAATTTGCTTAGGATAATGGCCTTCAGCTGTACCCATGTTGCTGCAAAGGACATGATCTCATTCTTTTTATGACTGTGTAGTATTCCATATTGTATATGGACCACATTTTCTTTATTCAATCCAGTGTTGACAGGCATCTAGGCTGATTCTATGTTTTTGCTGTTGTGAATAGTGTGGCAATGAACATGCAAGTGCTTGTGTCTTTTTGGTAGAACAATCTGTTTTCTATTGGAGGTACATCCAGTAGTGGAATTGCTGGGTCAAATGGTAGTTCAAATTTCTCTGAGAAATCTCCAAACTGCTTTTCACAGTGGGTGAACTAATTTAGATTCCCACCAACATTGTATAAGAGTTCACTTTTTTTCTGCAGCCTCACCAACATCTGTTGTTTTTTGACTTTTTAACAAAAGCCATTCTGACTAGTGTGAGATGGTATCTCATTGCGGTTTTTATTTGCATTTCTGTGATGATTAGTGATTTGGAGCATTTTTCCTATGTCTGTTGACTGCTGTGTATATATGTGTTGTACAAGGTACATGTGTGGTATCTTTTATTTTATAGTAGATATTCTTATAAAACTTATTTTATCTTTTCTAATTTTCCTATCACTGTATCATCTCCAGGAAAATATATTTAGAAAAAAAATTGTCAATATTCAATTAAAATTGTTAATTTCTCCACACTTATTTCTTCAAGTTTTTATTATATGCATATATTTTAATAAAATTTATATTTTATCAAGTTACAGAGTTATAGCATGTAGAAATGTTTAGTCTGATTTATACATAAATTATGCTTAATATTTACTGCTCTTATATAACAACATCATTTGTGAAAGTACATTACCAAAAAAAGGTACTTTTTCCCTAAGAAGTGATTTCTCTGGACAGTCGATGCTAGGTGAAAATGTATGTAAGTGTGTGTATATATGCATATAACATCTATTTCAACCTGCCTTATAAAGGACTGTTAAGAATCTATGGAAATGCATGATATGATATCCACGACAGCATATAATAGAGTTCCTATTACAACTGAGTCTATTACATCAGTCCTTGTCAAAAGATTTTACTAAAAGAAGAAATTGCACAAAAAAATTATAAAATTACCAGTGGAATGATTTGCTATTTGTTGACACATACATTGCTGTTATAACCTAAGATAGAAACATCTCTCAAAATTAAAAATAAGTTTAATTTGAAAATACTTACCACTCTAGATACAGATAAGAAATCCAATACAGCTAAAAACATATATCTTTTGAAATTTCAATTTAGATATATAAGAAAACAAGATCATGATAGTGATTTTTTTTTCAAGACCATTACACATTGGTATTCCTTAGACTATATGTCATGGAATTAATAATGGAGTCACAATAGTACGAAAAAGAGAAAGCATTTTGTCAGTTCCTGCTGAATGACGGGTTTGGGGTCTTAAGTATGTAATGAAGCCTTATCCAAATGACAATGCCACAATTATGAGATGAGATAAACAGATGGAGAAAACTTTGACACAACTCGTAGTTGTAGCTGATGGCCATTTATAGATTGTGCAGACAATTTTGCCGCCAGGGATAAATATCAACAGACATGGAGCCAGGACATGAAACACAGTACCTATACAGAGATTCATCTCATTCAAAAACATGTTCCCACAGGACAGTGTAAGTGTTGGGGTAATGTCACAGAACAGGTGCTTGATTTGTTTGGAACCATAAAATGGCAAAGAGAAAACCTGGAATGTCTGCACTATCCAGACAGGAGTTCCAGTGATCCAGGAGCCAGCCACCATCTGGGTACAGACCTCATGGTTTATGAAGAGAAGATAGTGCAGAGGGTTACAAATGGCCACATAGCGGTCTTAGGCCATCACAGCCAGAAAGAAGCACTCTGTGGCTCCCAGTATAAGAAAGTGGCACATTTGTGTAGCCCAGGCAACTAAAGAGGTTATTCCACTCTGGGTCCCAAGATTAATGAGCATTCTTGGGAGAGTAACTGACAGATAACAAATTTCTAAGAAGGAAAAATTGCCAAAAAAAAATAGGTGTTTGGAGACTAAGGTCCAGCTTTGTTATTAGAACAATGGTACCACTGTCTAATAGCTACAGAAGGTAGCCAAATGCCTAGGCAGATAGGGGCAGGTACCCTGTGAAACCCCACCTCCAAGCCAAAGACAGTTTAAAGCCTGAAAGCCAAGCTACAAGTTAAGTCCTTGGACTGGATTGAGAACTTGTCTTCCTGTTTGGCATACTTTCCACTGATTGATCCCCATACTTCACCTATTTTACATATACTTTCCCTTTCCTAATTGGTTTTCTACACTGTTGTGCCCACATTTGAGTGATGTCTTTGCTTTGACCTCTTTTGCACACTCACAAACCAATCAGCACACACTCCCCGTACTGTGCTTATAAAGACCCCAGAGTTACTTGGTAGAGAAGAAGCTGGCTTGACTTTGGGGAAGAGACAACCTCATTTCAGGGAAGATGACCTGCCCTTCCCGTACCCTCTCCAGCTCCCCTCTCCCCTGAGAGCCATTTTCATCACTCAATAAAGTTCTCCAGGTTCACCATCCTTCAATGAACCATGTGCCTCATTCTTCCAGATGCTGGACAAGAGTCAGGACTCACCATACCAGAAAAGGCTGTCACACTAGCCCTTTGCTTCACCAGTGGAGGGCAGCCACCCCACGTGATGAGGCAAGGGACCAACTGAGCTGCTAACATACTGCTATCCGTGGATGGTAGAATTAAAGGAGCACTGTAACACCCTCTCTGGGGCTTTGGGGTCACAGGCACTCTCACCTGGGTGCTGCCACATTCCCCTTGAGGCAACATGCCTGGTCTAGCCACGGGTCCTGCATGGTGCTTGCTTCTCTGTTGACACTCAGAGTGACTGGATGGATCCTGCACTTGCTCGCTCACATGTTCCCTCCAGCAAGGAGTTGAGCACAGCAGACCGAATAGGTGGGGTGTTTCTTCCCTGAGTCCAGTGAAGGGGCCAAGAAAAATTCTACATCAATACCACTGGAGATGGGGAACATCAGCACAGCCCAAGAGAATAAGTTTCATCAATTTAGTTCCATTCAGTTAGGTTTTTTTCTTGTGGTTTTTGCTGGTATTTCATCCATGTAAGTGGTAAATTTAACATGTGCTTTTCAATTTGCCTCTATAGATGGATACTTGTTCTCTAAATGTATCAGGACATCCACATCAATTTTTATAATAACTGCAATTTTTTCCAATATAAGAATGTAACTATTCATGTACTTCCCACTTTTCCAGGTCAGAACCAATAGCTTATCACTGTACACATGCCTCTAAAGTTTCTTGATTTTCTTACTTTTATTTTTTATTTTTTGAAAACAGGGTGTCACTCTGTCATCCAGGCTGGAATCCAGTGGCACAATCATAGCAGCTAACTGTAAGTTTGAACTTCTGGCCTCTAGTGATCCTTCTGCCTCAGTCCCCAGAATAGCTAGAACTATGAATCCTGCATCACCACTCTTGGCTTTTCCTCTTCTTCTCCTTCTTCTTTTTCCTCCTCTTTCTCCTCCTTCTCCATGTTTTTTTACAGAGACAGGGTCTCAGTTGCCCAGGCTGGCTTTGAACTTCTGGCCTCAAGAGTCCCATCTTGAAGTTCCAAAGCACTGGGATCACAGGCATGAGCCACTGCGCCGGGTCCCTGAAGTTTCTTTAGCATTATGCCATTATGGGCAGGACGCAGTGATTCAGGCCTGTAATCCCAGCACTTTGGGAGGCCAAGGAGGGCGGATCACAAGGTCAAAAGATCGAGACCATCCTGGCCAATATGGTGAAATCCCGTCTCTACTAAAACAAATAAAATAAAATTAGCTGGGCATGGTGGCGCACACCTGTAGTCCCAGCTACTCAGAAAGCTGAGGCAGCAGAATTGCTTGAACCCAGGAGGTGGAGGTTGTAGTGAGCCAAGATCATGCCACTGCACTCCAGCCTGGCTACAGAGCGAGAGTCCATCTCAAATAAATAAATGAATAAATAAATAAATAAATAAAAAGAATTATGCCATTATATCTCTGAAAACAGCCCAGGATGAACCAAACTACCCTACTCAGCATAAGCACTGCAACTGCTGAAGGCCCACAGCTTTTCCATATGATCTGTTTATTTACTTTTCTTGAAAATTCTATTTTACTTCTGATATGGCTTGGCTGTGTCCTCACCCAAATCTCACCTTGAATTGTAATAATCCCCATGTGTCAAGGGCAGGACCTGATGGAGATAAATGAGTCATGGGGGTGGTTTCTCCCTTACTATTCTTGTGGTAGTGAATAACTCTTGCGAGATCTGATAGTTTTGTAAAATGGGCGTTTCCTTGCACAAGCTCTCTTGCCTGCCGCCATGTGAGACGTGACTTTGCTCCTCATTTGCCTCCTGCCATGATTGTGAGACCTCCCTAGCCATGTGGAACTGTGAGTCAATTAAACCTCTTTCATGTATAAATTATCCAGTCTCAGGTATATCTTTATTAGCAGCGTGAGAACAGACTAGTACAACTTCTCTGTAATTTTTCTCTATCATGATTCAGTAGCACTATATCATCGATTGCCTTATCTCCTGAATTCTTACCTGTCTATGCCAACTGTCCATTTCCCTCTCATCACTTTATTTGACCATAGCTATCCTTATCATAGCATTCATGTTGTTAGGCAGTTTAACAACAACAACAATAACAAAATGAGAGAATGACTTATTGCACTTAGAGGAAGAAAACAGTATCTGTTGGTATGATACTAAGTGGAGAATATAGGAGAGTTTTATTCAGAAAAAGTAGCCTGGGAACATGGATCCAGGTTGAAATAATAAAGGGAGTATGGCTGGGGGAAACAGAAATAGCTTATGTGGCATAGATGATACCTGTGAGTAGGTGTGCTGGGCATGAGGAGAAAAGATATTAGCCCGTTATGTTAAATGTTGTGCACTGTTTGTGCCTCACAATTGTTCCCCCTAAAACAGCTTTTCAGATAAGATTTCTAACATCATTTTTCTTTATACATCAGGAAGGATACGTTAGAACTGCTTTAACATAATAATACATTTCCTGCTACAAGTTAAATATTAATTTTGAATTTTCAAATATTATAAACAGAACCTTCAGATCAGTATAAAACAGTTCATATTTACTTTTCTTATATAGGTTGATGCTGATGTTTTTCTCACTGTAGAGGATTTAAATATTTAGATATTTAAATTACTTTTGGTGAAGCACTTGTACATCAAACATATTCAACCCACTTTGAAAACATTCCACTCTTTCTAAACATAAAACGCTCTTTAAATAAAACTATAGCAGTTATCTCTACCTTAGGACCTCTCCTGCCTGACACATTAAAATTTTTGATTTATAATTAAAATTTCGGTGTATCTTTTGCATCCACTAAATTGCTTTATTTAATTTTTCCCAGTTACTGCTTTACTCTACTTAATATGGAGCCTCTGTTCCTATTAAACTGAGCACTTAAATATGTTTTATTTGTAATTTTGTCTTCCTAAAATGATTTCCCTGATCCAGATTTGTGGTAAGCCTGTGTAACAGTTGTAACAATCTGTTACAAAAAACAAATCTTTACTTAGGATAAAATCAAAATCTGGAATAAGTCCAGCTGAGATAGTGGTAAAGACACCAGGAAAGCTCTCTGTCTCTTCCAGGCTTCAATTTGTGAATAACAATTTTTTTTTTCCTGAATTAGGTAGTTTAAGAATCTTGTCTTGAAGTCGGGTTTCTCATGTCACTAATCAATGTTGCTTCGTATTATATATTTAGTAAATGGTTATTTCTAGTGGTTTTGATAATTAATAGAAAATATTTCCAAGAGAGGAACTTCTATATTACTGTGATAACAAATAGGAATCAGGAAAGTTTATTACAAAGTATCAGGAGCCATGTGCCAGAGACCATGGGAGGTGAGGAACAGGTAGTGATACCTCAAAGGGGAGCCAGACGTGTCCAAGCAAAGCAGAATATTGAGATGCCAGCCATAGCTGAACTATTTCAGGCGCACAGGTAACAGGTAGCTAAGCTGAAAAAAGATTTCTAAAGTCTCAACGTAAGGACAGTGTAGTACTGACATAGATAGAGATATTTTCTGATGCCATAGAATAGGAAACCAAGGAAAAAAAAGACTCAAATACAAATGAGAATGTATTGCCTAATAAATAATGCATACCAAATTTATGAAATTTTGACATTTAAAATACACGTTATTGGGATACCTGGGGAACATTTCAGGAAAAAAAACACATTTTATTCATAGTTCATACTACAATATGATAAACTTTAAATCATATACAAGTTTAGGTATTTTAGAAAGTAAAACAATGAAAGCAAATAATAGCAATCTAAGCAAAAATTTTTATAATTCTGGAGCAATGAAAGTTAATCTACCAATGACCCAAATGTTAGAATGTAGAACACAATTTAAAAAAATGTGTAAAAATAAATAATTTTGCATGGTTAAAAGAAATGAGCCCTAAAGTAAAGTAAAATAGTATTGATAGAATGAAAAAAATACTAAGTATATCTCCAGTAAAGTGCTATTTGCCCTTCTGAACAATGCTTCAAATATCCAGGAAAAGTCCAAAATACAAATAGTAAAGTAGACCAAACAATTTAAGTAACAGTTCACAGAAAAGGGAGGAAAATTATCCCTCAATCATAGGTACAAATACTCAACTTCATTCATAAAAAATTAATCTGTACATTGATGCAGTTTAAAAAAATTATAAGATATTCTCCTATACATTATGTATTCCACATATAGGTAGGAATATGGCATCTTTGACTAACATCATAGTGTGTCTACTCTTTGAATCAATCCATAAATCATGCATGCATATGAATATTTATTCAGTAACAGGATGTTGGAGTATTGTTTATACTTGAAAAAGAGCAAACCAACTAAGTGCGAACCATCTTGTGAGTTCTCTCTCTCTGAATGACAGCCTTGAATTTAACAGTGTTATCTATTGTTTTTTCTTCCATAGCTAGTGAATGCCACTAAATATGAGTATTATAATTTCTTCAGATTTTTCCAGTGCTTCCAGAAAAAACACTAGCTTACTGTGATCTAGTATATCTTAATTAGATGTGAAGTCGTTTATTTCTTTGTGTTAAATGTTGGAAATTATATATGGCTTGGTTTTTAAGTGTATCTATTCATAGAAATTATTATTCATTTCTCAAAATGGTTCAATAGTGTCACATTACTTAGGTCATATTTTGTTGTCAATTGTTATTTTTTGGAGAAGATAAAAGGAAATTTGCTTTACTGAATTGTTTCAGGCAAAAATAGCAACATGATATAAAAATGTTAAAGAGTATTGGATGTTTCTCTCCATTATAAACATGATACATTTGTAAAAGAAAATTTGGAAATCAAAGGTAGGAATATATATATAATTATATATTATGTAATAAAAATTTATATTAAAATATTAATTTACATTATATAACTTTAATTCTAAAATATATTTTTTATATATGCATAATATACATATAGTCATATGGTGTTGTAATTATCAGACATCCTTATATACTGTCTACTTCTGTACTTATTTAAAAGGAAATATACAGTGAATATAGCTTGTTTTGCTCAATGATACACTTCATCGATGTTGTACATGTTTGTGTTTGTACATTTTGATCATTCTCTAATTTTCCCTTCTGTGAAATTATCACAATCATTTTTCCATTCTAATTCGATAAGTATTTGCAACTCTTAGTCATGCTAAGATGAGCATTCTAGCAGGAGTTCCCTTCCATGCTGGGTAGACACCTAGCAATTAGATTTCTGCTGGGTAGAGACGTAGCAGTTGGGTTCTCTGGATGGGGGCAGGCTGGTTGCTAAATTGGTGGACCAATTTACATGCCAGAATTGTATGAGTCCCCATTGTTTCACATCTTATATACAAGCAGTGTGGTCAATGTCTTTTTGTTCTTTTCCCTCTCTTTCTCTGTATCATTCCCTCTTCATTTGAGTCATCCTGATAGGAGTATTATGGATCTCATCTGGTTTTAATTATCATTTGGTTAGTAATGGATTATTGTCTTTTTTTCCTTGGCCATTTGTGAAGTGCCCTTCATGTTTCTTAACAATTTTTCTCCCAAATTTTCTGTGTTTTTGATTGGTAGCACGTTAAGTATGGTGGATTTAATCACTTTGCACTGTAAAATTTTATTCTGAATTACTTCTTTGGAGAAAGATAACTTCTTAACCAATGAAGTTCAATTTATCAGTGTTTTCCACTATAGCAAATAACTGTATTAAAATATTTTTCTCATGCCAAAATCCTGAAAATAAGATACATAAGCTTTGAAATATTTATTGTACTATATTTCATATTTAGGTTTACAAGCTACCTGAAATTATGGTTTTAATAAACAGTGTGAAGTAAGGGTGAACTTTTTTCTTTCCTGTTTATACATAAACATTTAATTAGTTTAGTAAAACTTATTAAATAAACATACTTTCTACAGTAATCTGCAGCGCTACTTTTTTCATATTTAAGTATGTCCATGTGCTGAGTGGGCTTTGCGCTCTCTATTATGTGCCATCTGTTCCTTTATGTACTGTAAAATTATATCACACTGTCAGAATTTCTGCAGCATTGAAATAATATTGAAATAAGTCCTGATGCCCAGTAAAGTGATTCCTCCCTCTTTACTCTTCTTCAAGAGGCCTTGGCTACTATTAGCTGTTTTCTTTCCACAGTTTTAGAAGCAGGTGATAAATTAGACACACACACACACACACACACACACACACACAAAGAGAATAGGATTTCATTGTATTTTAATCAATTGTGGTTCATATTGGGGGAAATTGACATCTTTGACTGTATGGAGAAAACATGTTTACTCATTTATTAACTCTAATAATCTTTAGATTCTTAAAGATGTTCTATATATATATGTTTATCTCTTCTGTCAGTGATTAGATTTATTTCCAATTTCTCAGACTTTTTTCTTTCTTAAAATGCATAATCTACCATCTCTAGTAGAATTATTTAATAAAAACTGTAAAAAGGAGCATCTTTTTCTTGGTCTTGGTCTCAATTGCAGAAATACATATTTCAACATCTTTTCACTTAAGTGTGGTGTTTACAACTCAGATTATAACACAGATCTCTTTTTTATTGAAACCTAAACATTCTGTGTACTATTTGGAATCATGAGTGTAGAAACACTTTGGCTGAGGTTCTATTGTTAGTCTTTACTGTGGGTTATTCTTTAAATCATGAAGAGGCAACATGAAGGTATAGATTATATACAACATCTAAACATATAAGCCTATAGTTATTCAACAAATAGTATCCAAAAAGCAAACATATACAGTACTCTTTACTAGTTGACATATTTTTAAAAAGCTAATGATAATGATATAAAGGATGAGAGGAATAAGAATTTACACTATGATTTTTAGGGGAAATATTGAGATATGAATGGCTAGACAAGGAAGCAGGTCGAGGTCACTGTTCTCATTGTCTAAGGTGTTATTCGAGCTCGTTGTCTCACCACCAAGAAAATTAAGGAGTGTGGACGCAAAGGGTGAGGTTGGAGCAAAAGTTTAATGAGTGAAAGAAGAAAGCTCTCTGCAGGGGAGAGGGAAGCTCAAGTGGTTTTTTTTCTGTTTTTACAGTTGAATCCAAAAGCTTTTATAAGAAACTCCTCTCAGTTCTGTAGCTGTTTGAGTGACTTTTTTTTTAATCTGAAAATCTGTCTGCACAACTCCCCCTTATCTATGTAGTTGTGGTATGTCTCTAGGCAGGCACAAAGCGCCGCTTCTCTTGTTTGTATAACTGTGGGTTTGTTTTAGGTAAACCCCCTTCCTCCCTGTGTAACTTCCCACGGAGCCCACTCTGTATATACCTGAAAAGGGGGCGGGGGGAAACCAGTTACACAAAGAACAAAAGGCTTCTGTGCTTCTTATCTGTGCAGGTGCAGTCTGACTTTTTTCCAGGCTGCTCTATTTTTGCCTGTAGCTGTGATTTTTCAGGCAGGCTGCTTCTCCAAGGACCAGCCTTAACCTTTTACCTAACTGATTTTTCCTTTTCTTCTCCCTCAGTAAGACATACTATGTTTTTTAGTAAATAATCCCAAGATACTAATGAATTTGTGCAAGGACTTGTGGAGTAAATATAAGTTTGTTGAAAACTTATTCATTGAAATTGCCACCTCTTTGGTTATAATTATGATTTCAGAAAGTCCAGCATAAAATGAGAAATTCCGTAATTAGAAAGCAAAATTAGCCAACATTAAGTCAGGAAAATAAGGTAACAATTTCTGATAAGATAATGGCAGAATTAAGTGAGAAAATGGATAAATCAGTAGTTAATGCATTAAATAGGCAGGAATTTTCACAAAGCCATTTTTAATCTCTTCCTCACATTGTAGATCATGAGGTTAAACACTGAGTTGACAATGATATAGAAAAGAGATAAAAATTTGCATCTTATGGAAGAATGTTTGGATTTAGGTCATATGTATGTAATGATTCTGGATCTACAGAATAAAGCCACAACTATGACATGAGATGAGCAGGTGGAGGAGCCTATGACTTGTCCTGTTTCTGATGGAGACTTCAAGATGGTGAAGATGATTTTCCTGTAGTAGCCAAGTATCATCATAAAAGAGTTCATAGCAAACAGCACAACATCTGTAAAGAGCAACATCTCATTCACAAAAGTATCTCCACAGGCCAGCGTTGAGTATTGAGGGGATGTCACATAAGTTATTTTTTTTAAATAAGAGTCACGGCCGGGCACTGTGGCTCATGCCTGTAATCCCAGCACTTTGGGAGGCCGAAGTGGGCAGATCACGACATCAGGAGATTGAGACCATCCTGGCGAACACTTTGAAATCTCTACTAAAAATACAAAAAAATTAGCAGGGCGTGGTGGCGGGCACCTGTAGTCCCAGCTACTCGGGAGGCTGAGGCAGGAGAATGGTGTGAACCGAGGGAGTGGAGCTTGCAGTGAGCCGAGATCGCTCCACTGCACTCCAGCCTGGGTGACAGACCAAGACTCTGTCTCAAAAATTAAAAAAAAATTTAAAAAAAAATGAAAAAAAAATAAGATTCACAAAAGGGCATGGAGAAAGCCTGACATGTCTGCCTTATCTACCCTGAAACTCCGACAGTCTAGGAGCCAATCATCAGTTAGAGACCTTGTGATTCACAAAGTGGTTATAGGTCATCACTGTCCAGAGAAAGCACTCGATAGTTACAAACATCAGGAGAAAGCACATTTGTTTAACACAGGCAAACAAATAAATATTTGTTTTCTGAATCCAAAGCTTTATGAACATTCTAAGTACAGTGAGAGACATGAAACATATTTAAAGAAGGAAAAAACACTGCAGAAAAGATACATAGGAATCAGGTGATCCTGGTCAATCCTGATGATTAAAATATGATTTCCATTATTTCCTATCATTTCCCATCATGATTATCACATAGAAAAGAAAGAAAATAAATATTGGAGATTGAGAATATCAAAAATCTCCAAAGAATGTATACCTTTACTGAAAGGAAATTTACTTCCCATGGTTAGCTTTCAGTCTGTGAAAACAGTGAAATTAATTATTTATCCTTTTGGCTTGGTTTTAAACCACTAGAGGCGTTTGAATGAGTAGCATATAAAATTTATCATCTCCATTTCTACTCTACTATTTTAAATCTTATGATCAAAGAACACAACTGAAGTCTAATGTCAAATATACACTAAATCCTTAACATATTAAAATAATTATATATAATACTAGATTTGCATTTGAATGACAGCAAATGGCTCTAGAATTATGCATTTCCAATTTTTGCTTGTATATGAACAAATTAAAGTGAGGCTTCTTATCACACATATAAACAAAAAGAATCTTGAAGCAAAAGCAGTTATATTTCTCACATTTCCCAATGGAATGTACACCATTAAATTTTGAATTGTATTTTTCAATAACGCCTCAACTCTTCCATGAAGCCTTTTGCAAGTACAGCATGTGCCTTCCCTTCCACATCACATGATTATGGCTCTAATATTTTGTTCATATACCTCTCTTTGAAACTATATCCTGTTTCACTTATCTATCAAAATAAAATGATCATTGCTTTCTTATGCTTCACAATCCTACTCTATTTTCTCATGAAGCAAATGTCTACTAAATGATTTTGCTTGTTTGTTTTCTTTTTTTTTTAAGCCTTGTGGTTGGCCATTAATAAAGACAATATAGAATAAATTGCACTGATATGATTTCAAGAAATTCGCCTCATTTATCTAACCTCAGATGTCTCACTGTGTGCCATGGGTCATTCTCATTTTAATAATATAGCTGAGATGCAGCATATGGAAATCAAAACTGAGATGTGAAAATTATAATACATTATAATTTTTAGATAGTTGTCTGAAAGATCAAAAGAAGAGAATATTCATTTTGGATAGAAAGCATGTGAAAAAGTCTGTCTCATTAGTGAGCTATCAGACAGGATGCTGTTTGACACATGAGACAAGATGTGGTCTCCTTAAATGGTTCTCAGTTATCTGTCATATGTATTTTATATAATAATGTGTAAGTTACATCATAGTCAAGTAATCCAGGATATTTTATAAATATGAAATACTTTAACCATCAATTAAGATGAGTCTTTGAATTCATTATAGATTATTTTAAATTAGAGTGCGATCTTGATGTATAATCCCTAACACCTAAACTATGTATTTATGTGCTATTGGCACATAAATATTGCCAATTGATATTGTTTTAGGGCAATTTATACATGTGCCTTCTCTGTGCCTGACAACTTCCCATAAAGCTGAGACAGTGCTTCTCATTTCCTTGTATAGACCCATAGAAGGTGTTAATGAGTTTGGGCATATAATATTTTTGTGAATAACTATTTTGGATTTAATTTAATGTAAATCTACTATAAGACTGCATTATTCTCAAAAAAGAGAGAACAAAAATTCCTGACAAAACATCCAATGTCATAGGAGACCCAAGTAAATACATATTTACAAATGGAAAAAGGAAATGGTAAGTGCTAGTTAACACGAAAAAGAAAACACACCAAGTGTTTTCTTTACGTAGTTATCATTTCCTTTATGTGCATAATGTTATTTGAATATGATTTTATCCTATTTGATGGATAAATGTCAAATTATTTTATTTTCCTTTCCTTTATTTTATTATTATTATTATTATTATTATTATTATTATTTTAGACAGGGTCTTGCTGGAGTGCAGTCCTGCAAACTGGGCTCACTACAGCCTCGACCTGTCTGGCTCACAGGATCCTCTCACCTCAGCCTCCCAAGTAGCTGGAACCACAGGCGAATGCCACCATGCCAGGCTAATTTTTTAATTTTTTTGTAGACACAGGATCTTGCTATGTTGCCCAGGCTGGTCTCAAATTCCTGAGCTCAAGGCACCCTCAGGCTTCAGCCTCTCAAAGTGTTCAGATTCCAGGTGTGAGTGACTGCGCCCGGTCCATTATCACATTCTTTAATCATCAAGTAGGATGACTCTGAATCCATTATAGATTATTTTAAATTATAGTGTGATCTCAATTTAGAGAATGAACTGTAAGTACAATCACAGTGTTCATAAATCTTTCAACAATGGCTTTCTGAAATTCAGTAATTTTTCATTACATCTCAAAAAAACAAAACTGAAGTGTTTGCTTAAAGTTTTGAGCATACCGGTGAAGATGCTAAAAAAAAAAACTGTGAGAAAAATCAAGAGATGACTTGGAAATGATAGCTACCACATTTGTACGTTATTATTATTTTAAACCTACTATTATAAGAAAATCTAGGAAAAATATGTCTGAGAAAAATATTAGAAATTTGGTCTCCCATAACCTAGGGAGCATCTTGTCATATATTGAGTCATAGAAACGTACGTAAATATAAACCAATATTTTCCTTAGAAGAAATTATGCCAAATAAGTTTCTATTGTGCCACTGATAGATGACCATCACTAAACAAGCTGTATTTACGTAGGGTTGTCTGAGCTTCAAAGTGATTAGTATTACTTTTGTTTTGTTTCCTCCATAATTAGGAAGGGAGAAATCCAACTATGAAGGCTTTGATTGAATAAAATTTTTGTGTTTAAAAACTTGTTTACATGCTGAATTTTGAATCTATTGAATCTTGATTCTCATATTTCTACAATGTTTTAAAATAACAAATACAAAGGTTATAACATTTAAAATAATTTGTATGTTTCTAGATTTTGTTATAGCTCTCTGCTAGATTTAGTTATAGCTTTCTCAGTAGAAGAGTTTAAGTACATGTTAATATATAATTATATATTGTGTAAATATAATATGCATATTCATTACTTTAAATTGTGTTAATAAAATACTTTTAACAAATTTTTCTTCTCATGACAGAAACTCATGTCTCTTTCAGAATATATGTGTATTCAGGCTGGGCACGGTGGCTCACACCTGTAATCCCAGCACTTTGGGATGCTGAGGCAGGCGGCTCACTTGAAGTCAGGAGTTCGAGACCAGCCTGATCAACAAGGTGACACCCCATCTCTACTAAAAAACTACAAAAATTAGCCGGGCATGGTGGCGGGTGCCTGTAGTCCCAGCTACTTGGGAAGCTGAGGCAGGAGAATCGCTTGAACCTGGGAAGAGGAAGTTGCAGTGAGTCAAGATTGCACCACTGCACTCCAGCCTGAGTGACAGAGTGAGACTCTGTCTCAAAAAACAAAAGAAAAAATCCAAAACATCATGTTATCTTTAAATAAAAATATTCTTCTTTTGCTACTGATTACATTTATTTCCCATATGTCACCTTAATATTTAACTTTGTGCTTCTGCTGATCACTCATTTAGAATTTTCGACAGACACTCTGGCCAAAGCTGCCCTTCACAACAGTCATCCAGTGGAATTCAGTTCCCTGGCCACCCACCCCGCCAACCCCACTAAATCTTGGCAGCAGCAAGAATACTCTTGAGAAAGCAACACTTCTTAATGCCATCTATAATTCCCTGGAGAATATTTAAATTGTGTCTTTGAGTTCCTTTCTTATCTCTGTTTCTTAATGTTTCTCCTTAATTCTTGCACCTGAGTCTTAGAATGTGGGAACATTAGACTCTTATATATTACATGCACATGCTTTATTTATTATGATCTATTTCTTTTTAAAACCAACACTATCGTAGTTGGAGAGTTAATTATTTTTGTCAAGGACAACATGGGTGCTATTACAAGCTGTATCTCCTGTCTGTGATAAATAGAACTATTTTAAATCTGATATATATCAGAGAAAAAAAATTATCACAGTCCCTGCTATCATTTCTAACCAACTTCCTTGATCTGTGTGAAAATTATTGTTAGGTATAACAGAGACTTTTGTACTCACTCCCACATCACATTCTAATTTGAAACAAAACGTTATTTGATCCATGCCCTTTTCTCGTTCTCTCCCAATTTTGCTAAGACCAAACTCTTTATGCTTGCCTCAGTTTCTAAGTTGATTTTTTTTTCTTTTTTTTTTGAAACAGGATCTCATTCTGTCACCTGGGCTGGAGTGCAGTGGCACCATCACGGCTCAAGGCAGCCTCGACCTCCTGGGCTCAGATGATCCTCCCACCTCAGCTTCCCAAGAAGTTGTGACTACAGACGTGGGCCACCATATCTGGCTAATTTCTTAGTATTTTTTGTAGAGACAGGGTTTTTTCCATGTTGCCCAGGATCGTCTCGAACTCCTGGGCTCTAGCGTTCTTCCTGCCTTGGACTCCCAAAGTGGTGGGACTACAGATTTGAGCCACAACACCTGGCCTTCTGAATTTTTACTTGAAAGTAAGATAGACAGAACTTCTCACATAAATTTACTAATCCCATTTGAAAGTAGATTTTAATTAGCTTTTGCTTTTATACATTTTTATCATTTTCTTCAGATTTTAACATTTGTTTATTGAATAACTGTACTAGGTACAATTTTATGATGGCCCAAATATTACTGCTCCCTCCTGTACTTATACCTGTCTCCTAGTTGTGCAATCAACCACTAATCTAGGCCTTGCTGTAAAAGCATTATGCACATATAATTAAGGTCTAATATCAGTTGACTTTAGGGTAATTATTCATGTTGACCTGACCTAATCATATGAATCCTTAAATCTAGGTACAGTGGTCAGAGATAAAAAAAAAAAATCAGATTTAAAGTGAGGGAAATGGAAGAGGGGAGAGGGCGTGGGAATGCAATTAGCTTCTAGGAGATAAGATTTGGCCTCAGCTGACATCCAGCTAAGAAATTGGATCTGTCCAGGAGATTGAGACCATCCTGGCCAACAGGGTGAAACCCCATCTCTACTAAAAATACAAAAATTAGCTGGGTGTGGTGGTGCGTGCCTGTAATCCCAGCTACTCGGGAGGCTAAGGCAGGAGAATCGCTTGAACCAGGGAGTAGGAGGTAGCAGTGAGCCTAGATTGTGCCACTGCACTCCAGCTTGGCGACAGAGGGAGACTCTGTCTCAAAAAAAAAAAAAAAAAAAAAGAAGAAAGAAAGAAAAGAAAAGAAATTTGACCTGTCTTTCAATCTCAAGAAACTAAGAAACTAGACTCTACCAACAATGTAACTGACCCTAGCTATAATCAGATATTCTTCCCCAGAGCCTCCAGACAAGAACTTGGCCTAGCTGATACCTTGATTTCAGCCTCTGAGACTCTAAGCAGGGAGCCTACTATCCTGTGCCAAATTTATGACCTAGAGAAACTGCGAGATAATAAATGTATGTTTTCTTAAATTGCCAAGTTTGTAGTCATTTGTTATGCTGCATTAGAAAGGCAATGCAATCACTTAAAAGGCATTGAATATACCATTACCATTGTGGATATAGAGTTGATCTACACCTTTTGTTAGAAAAGCTCTCTTTATCTGGGAATGTATGGATGCCTAGATTTTTACTCTTGGTGAAGATAAGATCAGATAAGATAAGATATGGTATTCTGTATAAGGTCTAAAACAACTCTGGAACCTCAGTCACTTTCTTTTTAGATGGTTTGTGACTGCTGTAATGAGTTTGACAACCTGACTTGATAAAATGACAACAGAAATTATACTCCACCTCAATTCCCTTTACTCTCTGACCTCTCCAGAAATCCATATTCTTTCCACAGTTCACCTGATGTTATTAATAAGTAAGAATGTAATTTCTTGTATGGGAAAGAAAGGGCCCTGGGAATTTCTTCTTGCTGAATACTCTAAGACATTCAATGCATGCCTGCAGTTTTCCTTTTCTCGTAAACAATATTTTTTAACTTCATTTGTTTTTTTTGTTTGTTTGGTTTGGTTTTGAGATGGGATCTTGCTGTGTCGCCCGGGCTGGAGTGCACTGGTATGATCACAGTCTATTGTAGCCTCAAACCCCTAGGCTCAAGCACTCCTCCTGCCTCAACCTCCCAAGTAGCTGGGACCACAGGCACATGTCAACATGCCAGCTTATTTTAATTTTTTAGTGGAGTCACAGTTTCACTATATTGCCCATACTGCTCTGAAATTCTTGGTCTCAAGTGCTCATCCTGGCCTTGGTCTCCCAAAGTGCTAGGTTTATATGCGTGAGTCACCATGCCTGTCCTTTGACTTTAAAAAATCCTTCTTTGGGTACATTCTGTATAATCTGGTGAATCCTTTCAAATACTCAAATTAGAGAAAACAGTACAAATGTATTTATTTTCTTTAGGCTTAATAATGATACATAGGAAATATTTGATCAATGATTTGACAATATTTAGAGATATATATTTTCTTAATTGGGTTGATATGGTGGGATATCAAAAAATTAACTTACCGGCCAGGTGCGATGGCTCACGCCTGTAATCCCAGCATTTTGGGAGGCCGAGGAGGGCAGATCACTTGAGGTCAGGAGTTCAAGACCAGTCTGGCCAACATAGTGAAACCCCATTTCCTCTAAAACCACAAAAATTAGTCGGGCATGGTGGCACGTGACTGTAATCCCAGCTCTTGGGAGGCTGAGGTGGGAGAATTGTTTGAACCTGGGAGGTGGAGGTTGCAGTGAGCTAAATTTGGGCCACTGTACTCCAGCCTGGGCAAAAGAGCAAGACTTCATCTCAAAAAAAAAAAAAAAAAGAAAGAAAGAAAATTAACTTACCCATTGTATTGTCATTAAGTATAAATAGATTCATGTTATCTTTATTTTATTAGCCTTATTAAGTGCTTTAAGTTCCATTTTTTTAAATGATTAAATTTTTGCTATTTTTTTACTTTGTTATTTTGGAATTTGTTTAAATTATCATTGTCAGCAAGTATATGAACAAAAATTTATACATATCTTTTTGCATTAAAAAGGACAAAGGCTCACTTTATAAATACACCACTTATATGGCTTCTGATAATATGCAAATTCATTTTTGCATATTTCATTTATTACAGACTGGAAAATCATTTGTCAATAGTCACGTAAATTTTTATTGTGCTTATTATCTATTTGATTTGCTAAATATTAGTAAGAATCCACTCATCAATTCAATATTTGTTCATATTTTTCTCTTTCTTTTTTTCTAGATTGTTTCGTTGACCATCATTTAAGGCTCACCGTTAGTCATTTGTTTTTAATTATGCCCACTTTTGTTATTTTAAATTTGTCTCTCTCTGATACTATCATTAAATGACTTTCAGTTATACTTTGAAAGAATGTCCCTAAATGCCATATGTTTTTATGGCATTCCTGTTAGATCAAAAGATATTTATTTTTCTTTCAAAATTAGATTTGGTTGATGTAAAAAATTTACCTACTTGATGGGAAATATTCTTTATGACATTTAGTAGAAATAAAAAAGAGAAACGCAAATATTTTCTTTGTAATATAGTTTTATATTTTCATAATAACAAAACATATTATTTCTTGTGATCTAACTTTATATTCCCCATGTAGTAAATATAAATTGTAAATTAAAATATAATAAAACAGAAATCTTCTGAATTCTTGCCAGTATGAAGAAGCCAATATTCTCTTCTGATGCATATCCTCCTAGACACTGCTAATATGCAAACATCCCATTCCTAATATGCACATGTAAAATGCTATATGAAATTATAGTTGCTATTATTATTGGTTTTACAAAAATGATGTTATATTTTTTAAGTACATATGCATTCTTACATATTAGGGAAGTAGGAATTTCTTCAATTGAGCAGTTCTGAGACATTATCTTGAGAGGCTGTGCATTACTGTAAGGTAAAGATGTACTCCAGTGTCTTCATATACTCTGAGAGTGACTTCCCTTTACTCCCAAATTTGTTTTGCATCAATAAAACAAATTTCGTTATAAAAGTTTTTGAAAAAACACGTTTGTAATAACTATTGAAAATATATTACCTCTACAAGATCAAATTTCATTGATTTAGCTTGTAAAGTAAGAAGAATATATATATATATATATATATTTTTTTTTTTAAACAGAAGTCAATTTACTGCCCAAAATGCATGCAACAATTGAAGGGTAGGGTGGAATGGCATATCAGCTGAATCAGCTGAGGCAAGGTGGAATACAGAATTCATTCCAGATATTCAAATAAAAAACTTAAATAAGAGGACAATTTGTGTGATATATTATTTCCCCTGGTTTATCTTAACAACTTACTGCAAATTGGGTGGCTTAAGGCAATAGCAGATTAGTCACTCATCAGTTCTCTAGGCTCCTCCAAAATCACAACGTTGGCAGGAACTCACTTCCTTCAAAGGCTTTAAGGATGACTCATTCCTTGCCCCTTTTTGTTTTGGTGAATCTTGACCATCTTTGGTTTGTGGTTGAATCATTCCAGTCTCTGCCTTCACCTTTACATGATGTCCTTCTCTGTTTCTCTGCACCTTTTTTCCCCTCAAACTTCTTCTGCCTCTTTGTCTTTTATAATAACACTTGTCGTTGGACTTCATGTGCAACCTAAATCATGGTACTTTCATTTACAATCTTTAGCTTCACTATAGCTGAAAGTCTTTGTTTTTCTAAATAAGATTAAATTTGAAGGTTCTAGTTGGAGATTTCTATTTTGAGGGTCCAACATTCAACCCAACACACATAGGTAAGGCTAGTTTAGGATGAAAACTAAATATTAACAAAGCAAGACCTGAAGCTACAAGGAAAGAAAATATGTTATCAGAGACGAGTAAGATGTAGGCAGTTAGAGGAATAAACATTCTCAGGATATTTAGATTTAAAAATATATGGACAAAGATATGAGAAACAAGTAGGGTAAAATGCAAAGAAAATCCCATATCCTTTGTTTCCACCATCTTAGCTATTTTTGGTGTTTCTAATCAGTTAAATCCAAACCCAAGGGTCAGAGAAAGGTGGTAAATACATCTGAAGGAATGGGAAGGTGAAAGAAGATGTATTACAGAGCCTGATCCTAACCCCTAATTATATGACTCACTCAGTTATTTTTCATTTTATTGCTCAGGTGGTCTCTTAATCAACAGTTAACCATTGATCTTCAGAATGAGATCTTGGCACCTTAGTTAAATTGTGCTCCAACTGCACAGTAGCACATAACTATATTCTGTGAATAAAACACCCCTTGACATAATGTAAGTTTGTATTTAAATTTCAGTACTCATTATTGAATACCATAGGGACAAAGTTAAAAAAAAATTCACTGAAGCCACATGACAAACCTATAAAGAAATTATTTCTGTAATTTCAAGTCTTCATCTCATGTTAATAACTTAGCTAGTAATTTTCTCAATGCCACCATGATATCTTTGTTCCTCAGGGTATATATAATAGGATTCAAAGTTGGAATCAGAATGGTGTAGAAAAGAGAAATCAGTTTCCCCATCCTTTGAAACTGATGTGGTTTGGGCTGTAAATAAGTGATAGTACCTGCTCCAAAGAATAAGATTACAACTATTAGGTGAGATGAGCAGGTGGAGAAGGCTTTAGCCTTTCCTCTGGCTGATGACAATTTCAAAATGTTGGAGATAATTTTGCCATAAGAGACAACAATCAACAGAAATGGCACCGTGATAAACACCACCGCTACTACATGGACTGTTATCTCATTCACAAATATGTTTCCACAAGCAAGCTTGAGTATTGGCGGGATGTCACAAAAGAAATGATTAATTGTGTTAGTTCCGCAAAAGGGCAAAAGGAAAATTTGGCATGTTTCCCCAATTACTACAGGAATTGTGATGGTCCAGGAAGCTATTATCAGCTGAATGCAGACTTTGTGGTTCATCACTAGAGGATACTGCAAAGGCTTACAAATAGCCACGTAGCGGTCATAGGCCATCACTGTCAGAAGGAGACACTCCGTGCCTCCAAGCATAAGAAAAAAACACATTTGTGTAGCACAAGCAAACAAAGAAATATTTCCTTTCTGAGTCCAAATGTCCATGAGCATTCTTGGGATAATGATTGTTACATAACAGATTTCCAAAAGGGAAAAATTGCTAAGAAAAAAATACATGGGAGTCTGGAGAGCGGGGTGAATTTTTATTAGTAGTATTATGATGCCATTGCACATCAGGATCATCAAATACATAAGTAAAAATATACTAAAAAGCATCCAGTGGAGATTGGGAATATCAGAAAACCCCAAAAGAACAAATTCCATTATTGTAGTCACATTTGATTTTTCTCTTTTAGTTTGCTCTCCATCTGCAGATATAGCAAATTCAAGACAGTTAATTCATCCATATTTTGAACAATATTTTCCTCTTGGGTTAACTAAATGAGATACAGGAATATACTTACTTAAGCTCTTAAGTCATTTTCACCAGTACTTGCTCTGTTTCTAGATAATAAACTGATTTAGCATTAAAATCAATTTAAGAAATGAAACCTCAATATATTTTATTATACTGGGATATAATGCAACCAGAGGCATTGAGAAGCATGCATTGTTGTTTAGAAAATATTATGGAGGAATAACATCTTATTATTTCACACTTAAGAGTAGAGTTATAGTGTAGGCTTTTACTATTTCATCTGAGAATATCATTTTTCTTTGTATTGGTAGTCATATTCCAGTTTTTTTAATTCAAAATGTTGCCCTTGAATATTACGATTAATTCATACTCAAAATGAATTTTAAACTTTTCCTTTTATGCACCAGTGAGAATCAATTATCTTAAACAATTTCTTGGTTACTGAGAGACTAAATACATGCATTATTGTTGCTCTACTTCATGTCTCTCTCCTATTATTTATGCTAAATATAAAAACACTAATACCAGTAGGCAGTTTATTGACTTCCCCTGTTATTGCCCTGAATACAGTGAATGCTAAATAGTAATTAAATTATAACTTAATCAAGATGTAGAAATTCATCACAATTTTTTTTACATTTCTTTTTTTTATCTAAGTGAATTTCTCCATTGTCATATAACCAAATACAGTTCCTTTCAACCAAATACAATTCCTTCTCTCTATTTTCCCTTCATCCTGTTGCCTTATTAAAGTAAAATTCTTTGATTAAACCCAGCTAACATTTACTCTGGCCATCTAAGTGGCCAGAGCATATAAATGGGACCAAAAAATTAAACAAAACAAAACAAAAACACACTGTCTTGCTTCACTTCATGTCAATGTCATCCAATATGAGGAAATCACTGCTTGTCAATTCCCATTACACTTGCTTAACGTTTGTTCTCCAACTTTCTAAACAAATTCTTTTTTTCTGTGTCTTCAAATCTGCTGCACCTATACCTATTTTAGCCCGGTCAGCCAATGCATTTGACTTAATACGTTGATAAATGAAAGTGATCAGACAAATACTATCTCATATTTATACATTTCTATTAGTACTAGTTTTCAAAATTGCCTTAAATGACTTTTCATCACTAATGCAATTTTACCATTATTGGACATCTAATTTTATTTAACTTTGTAGTGAAGAGATACATGATTTAAATGTTAAATAATTAATTTTCAGATAAAGGTCTCAAAATTTCATGCTTTTCTGTTTTATTAGTTGCATTTCTATCCACAAACTTGTAACTATTCTTAAATAAAATAGTCTGTCAACCCAATTATGGCTTACCTTTAGGGATTTGCATGAAGCTGTCTGTACAGACTTTTTAAGCTCTTCCTTTTCTCGGGAACTGTAATTTTGCAATACGCTTGCTTGTTTCAAACAGCAACAGCTCTTATATAGGAATAGTCAGACTCAACCTGGGATGTGTCTTCTCTTGAGTATCAGTTTAATTTCTAGAAGGCTGCTTCTGTTTGTCAATCATTCTGATTCATTTTTCAAAACTACTTTAAGTAAACTTATCCTCCTCTTCATCTCCTCATGAGGGGAGTTAATTAAATACCATTTAGTTGTCTAGTATTACTTTCAGGAAAAAGTTAAAAATTTTCCAACTGTGTATTTGAGGCCCCTAATACTTAGTGTGGATTTGTCTGCCTTACTTCTATTCCAATAATTTATCCAGATCCAAATTAACTAGACCTTTAAAAAATATATCATGTGTTTAATCACACGAACATGATATGCTTGATGTCTTCGACATATTGAACGGTGAGATTCTTTTTCAGATGTGGAACCCTCTGTTCCTAGGTTAACTTTTTTTGTGGATATTAAAACATGTTAATTCTGCTGAGAAAATCTATCTATACATTTATTTCATTCTGTGTTGTCTATAAGGCACCAGGGAAATGTATCCAGCTGATTGAAAATGTAATATACCACTCCAAGACGTCCCACTAGACGCAGTCAAGAGGAACATCGCCCACGAGGGACCAGGACATCAGGAAGATTGGTGCACTCCTAGCAAATCTTCAGAAGGAAAGGAATTCTGCATGGGGGTACCACACACAGGAAGCATTCCTGGCCCCCAGTGACTCCTGCAAAAGCATGAGTTGAATGGGCAAGGAGCAACCCTCTCTTTCCATGAGCCTCCGAATCCCAGCAGGAGAAAACCCCTGGACCACAAGTAACACTTGAACTGGCAGGGAGAGATGCTTAGACAAGTGGTAGGGGCAGAACTCCAGCCTGTGTGGAATCCAGAGGGTTTAGTGTGAAAGTGTCTGTAGTGGAGCATGGCCAGGGATGCCCATCCCCCCAGGCTTGACCTGCTCCCGTAGGAAGCTTTAGCCCTATGGGAACTATGGGACCTGAATTCTGCACGGCAGTCTCACCCACTACATGAGGCTATTCTAACTTCAGCACCACTCAGTTTGCTGGCCTCTCCTGGGTCCCAGCTTGGCCCCCAGCCAGGTACCTCCTGGGGGCCACATCATAGCTCCTGTGCTGGTGGACCCCCGGCTGACCAGCAGACTGATCCAGCAGAGTAGCCTGTGCAGACACAGGCCAGCCCACCAGCACCCTCCCTGCACTGCAGCCTCTCGGGCCACTTTGCCTGCACTCACTCACCCATAGCCACCCCCTATTTATGTCTCTCTCCTATTATTTATGCTAATTATAAAAACACTAATACCAGCATCCCTTTGCCAGTGAGTGTGTGTGCCAGAGGACATTGCCTTCCCTTCCCTGCCACTGTGAGTGTGCCCATACATCCTGTGTGCCACTGCTCCCGGAGTGAGTGCACCTTTGGCCCTGCTGCAGAGCCGTTGTCCTCGGAGCGTTTGTGGGCCCGTCCCTCCCTGAGCGGGTCTAATGGTCACTAACTAGTGATCATTAGAGAAATGCAAATCAAACTTTCCATCACTAACCAGTGATCATTAGAGAAATGCAAATCAAAACCACAATGAGATAGATACCATCTCACACCAGTCAAAATCACTATTATTAAAAAGTCAAAAAATAACAGATGCTGGTGAGGTTGCAGTGAAGAGGCAACACTTACAGTGTCTTGATGGGAGTGTAAATTAGTTCAACCATTGTGGAAAGCAGTGTGACGATTCCTGAAAGAGGTAAAAACAGAACTGCCATTCTACCCCATAATCACATTACTGGCTCTAGATCCAAAGGAATAGAAATCATTCCATTATAAAGATGCATGCACACATACATTCATTGCAGCACTATTCTCAATAGCATAGACATGGAATCAATCTATATGTCCATCAGTGGTAGACTAGATAAAGAAAATGTGGTACGTATACATCATGGAATCCTATGAAACCATTAAAAAAGAAGACTATGTCCTTTGCAGGAACATGGATGGAGCTGAGGGCCATTATCCTTAGCGAACTAACTCAAGAACAGAAAACCAAATACTGCATGCTCTCACTTAAAAGTGAGAGCTAAGTGATGGGAACACATGGACACATGGAGGGCCTACCTGAGGATGGAGAATGAAAGGAGGGAGAGGAGCAGAAAAAATAACTATTGGGTACTAGGCTTAATACCTGGGTGAGGGCCAGGCACTGTGGCTCAAGCCTGTAATCCCAGCACTTTGGGAGGCCGAGGAGGGCGGATGACCTGATGTCAGGAGTTCGAGACCAGCCTGACCAACATGGAGAAATCCCATCTCTACTAAAAATACAAAATTAGCCAGGTGTAGTGGTACATGCCTGTAATCTCAGCTGCTAGGGAGGGTGAGGCAGGAGAATCACTTGAACCTGGGAGGTGGAGGTTGCGGTGAGCCGAGATCGTGCCATTGCACTCCAGACTGGGCAACAAGAGTGAAACTCTGTCTCAAAAGAAAAACAAAAAATAATACCTGGGTGAAATCTGTACAACAAACCCCATGTGGAACAACCCTTCAAATGGACACCTGAACCTACAATAAAAAAAAAAAATTTAATGCAAGCCACTTCAAAAATAAACATTTTAAACTAGATTATTTAAAACAGAAGGAAAAGAAGAAACTTTTCAACATCCTTTCCCTATTGCAGCTACTTCCGGGTGTGTATGGTGATGTTTCTCAGGCATAAAATCAGGAGCACCAAATCTACTTCTATGTGGAGTTACATTTGTTTCTTCTTGTTTGGCGTTCTATGACCATTTGACAGTATGTTTCTAAAACCAACTTCCTCTATGCATGCTAAATCTGCTTCTCTATACCACAGCATGCCTCTCCTACATTGTTCCTCTGTACTCTTTATTATCACTGATTTGGTATGTCCAAAGAGGGCTTTCTTCATTTCCATCTACAATTGAAAATGGTACTCATGATTTTCCAGAAACTTTCCATTACCAGGTTGGGACAAGCTGAATGTCCATTTTCCACTGGAGTACACTGGTGTATTATGAAAAAGGAGAATTGGATAAATTGGGTATTTCATAATTCATTTAAATACCACAGTGACCTGAACAAGTCTAAAACCTGAAACATTACCACAGATATATCAACGCCTTATCAAAATAAAGAAGTATCTTACATTCATATCATAGTGCAATGTGGTGGTTAGTAATTAAAAAACTCTATTTCCTTCCATCTGATAGTCCTATTGTTCCCTAGGTCATCTTTGTAGTTCTCTATTGGACCACGAGCATTCAGAGAGCTGAGAACCAAGTATGGACAGAGCATAAGGAAAGAAACTCCCTCTAAAGAGTCTCAGCACATGATAGATGCGTCATTTCCACACATATGCTATTGTAGAAACTATTAACATGATCTAACTTAAATGTGAGAGGGCTAGGGGATGTTGTATTACTGTAGGTCAAAAAAACAAAACGATTTTTGGAGAACATCAAGGCAGATTCCACCCCAGGGTATTTCACTCTTTCTCCCAAATATAGAAGGTATTTCCCCAATGCCATAACGTTCAGCCCTAAAAATTTATGATCTATGATTATTACCCATTTCTCTATATTAGGTATGGGTGATCTCCTTCAGTTTAAGAGACCAATGAATAAAAAATGGAAATATTTCTTCCACTACACACTCAGTATACAGTGACATTGGAGTGGAACATGCTGATGCTTTTTTTTTTTTTTTTTTGGAGAGACAGCTGTCACTATTTCTCTGGGTAGAATCTTAAGGACACTTACCCTGCATACAAATAGATTCCTTTATTAATTTTTCTTCTAAACGCTTGGTTCCACTCTACCTTGTTTACCTCTTTTGCAGTGGCATCTAAAGGAGATTTGAACAATCCCAGTCTCCTTGCACCCTGCTCAGATTTGCATCTCAATTAATGGTGAAGCAGGTCTGAGGACCTGGAATTTATTTACAGATCGAAGAGTCAAAGATTTAGTAATCTTGACCTTGTGATGTTTTTGGCTGTAACATTTTCTTGGAAATTAAAAAAAAAAAACTCTCATTTAATTACTGCACAACAATCCCTGTGACAAATTTTTCTGAAATATAGATTTTAAATATCCTAGTACCCTCATGCCTCTCTGTTTCAAGTTAAAGCTGGCTAATTGGTAGCTCTCTGAGATTTTAGGCATCACTTAGAGCATCAATTTATTTATTATCTAACTCTGACAATTTTGAAAGTAAATGGAGAAACTAAAATTGACATATTATATTGTGAAACCTGTATTTAAAAGCAAGTTTCAAATGCAACATAGCATGTGATAACTTGAATACATTTATATTTATGTTTAAATGTTAAAATTTACAACACAATAATTATTCCTGATATTTGTCCATGTATTTTAGTTGTTTTATAAAAATATATTTGCATCTTATATTAATACAATGTAATTATTATTTTTAATATGGTCTTACTCTTATATTAACAATGTTACTGAAGCATAATTTTCAGAAAATAAACTACATACTTTAAAATATATTTAATTATATTTAAAATTCAATGTGGTGACAGACATATTCAATTGTGAAACCACAATCAAGGTACAGAACATTCACATTATCCAGAAACAGTCCTTCTTAAAATTTTTCAATATCATTCATTTTCGCCTGTAACCCAAGGAAACCACAGATCAGATTCCTATAGTTAAAGATAATTAATAATCAACAGAATATACATTTTTATGTGTGAAGTTTTTTTCCTTAGCATAAAGATTTAAGAGACATCTATGATGTAAATATCAATAGTTTTTTCATTGTCATTGCAGAATAGAATTCCATTGGATGAACATACCGTAATTTGCTTATGCATTCCTCTGCTGGTGAGCTTTGATTGTTTCCATGTTTTGGTGTTGTACATGGAGCGGCTGTGTGTATTCATAAACGCGGTTTACATTTGACACATATTTTCATTTATTTTGGATAAATGAATCATGTTATAGAATTTATTTATATTTTAGGAAATTGTCAAAGTGTTTTTTGAAGCACTTATATTCTTTTACATTCTCTCCAACAAAGTATGAGAGTAAAAATACTTCTATACCTTTGCCAAAACTTGACACTGTTAGAATTTTCAACTTTTGCCATAGTCATGGGTAGGTTCTGGATTTTTATTCCTATGTCTTTAATGACTAAAATGGTGTGCACATTTTTATGTGCTTATTGAATACTTACAAGTAATTTTTGGCTAACTTGTTTAATAAATTCATTTATTTCTTACAGGACTGTATTCTTTTTTTTTTTTTTTTTTTTTTGAGATGGAGTCTCACGCTGCTGCCCAGGCTGGAGTGCAGTGGTGCCATCTCGGCTCACTGCAAGCTCCGCCTCCCAGGTTCACACCATTCTCCTGCCTCAGCCTTCTGAGTAGCTGGGACTACAGGCGCCCGCCACCACGCCCGGCTAATTTTTTTTTTGTATTTTTAGTAGAGACGGGGTTTCATCATGTTAGCCAGGATGGTCTCGATCTCCTGACTTCGTGATCTACCTGCTTCGGCCTCCCAAAGTGCTGGGATTACAGGCGTGAGCCACCGCGCCCGGCCCAGGATTGTCTTCTTATGATTGGATGGCAAGTGTTCTTTACACATTTTGTATACAAACTCTTACTCAGAAATATTAAGAAATATTTTTACCACTCTTTAGTTGCCTTTTTTATTTTATTAACGCTATTCTTTAAAGAAAAGAGCTGTTAGTTTTGGTTTAATTTAATACATATTTTTATGAATTATGCTTTCTGAGTACTCTTTTAGAAGTGTGTAATAATCTTTATATCCCTACAATTTTCTTTTATGATTTTTTCTAGACGTTTCTATACTTTAGATGTTACTTTCAAGTCTATGACCCATTTTGAGTTGATGTTTGCATTTAATGTGAAGTCAAGTTTGATGTTCCTTTAGTCCCTATGTAGATATCTGCTCTTGCACTGTTTGTTGAAAAGGCTTTTAATTCCCCATGGAATATCCCAGCATCTTTGTCAAAAATCAGCTAATTATCTACATATTATGTTATATATATAAGATAATATACATTAATATATTATTAATATGATATAAATATATTAATATGCAATATATTATATAATATCTAATTTATATTTTTTTCTGGACTCTTTATTTTCATTCCACTGGTCTTTATATTTAGATACCTTAAGATATTCTAGGTAAACATTCATAACACTTACTTAAAGGAGCAACTTTTCCTTTAATAGTTTCAATTTTACTTTCCCTCACTTCGTTGCACTGGCTAGAACCTCCTGCACAAGGTAACATGCATATTTTTCTAATTGATATATAATATACATATTTATGAGCTGTATGTGGTATTTTCATACATGGATACATTGTGTAACTATCACATCCAGTGTAATTGGGATATTCATCACCTGAAACTATTATCATTTATTTGTGTTGGCATTATCCTAACACTTCTCCTCCAGCTATTTTGAAATATACAACATATTATTTTTAACTGTAGTTGCCCTAATGGGCTATCAAGCACTAGAACTTATTCCTTCTATCTCTCTGTATTTTTGTACCCATAAGCCAAACGCTCCTCATGCTCCCTTCCTCCCATCCCATCCCAGCATTTGGCAACCACCATTCTATTCTTTACTTCCATGGAATCAAAATTTTTTAGCTTTACATATGAGTGAGATAATGCAACATTTGTCTCCTTGTGTCTGGCTTAGTTCAGTTAACATAACAACGTCCAGTTTCATCAATTTTTCTGCAAATGACAGGATTTCATTCCCCATCCCATCCCTTTTCTTCCTAGCCTCTGCTTCTGTGGAAATCAAGTTTCTCCAGCAACATTTATTAAAAAGGCTGCTTTTCCCACCAATGAACTTTCTTGGCACTCATGTTAAAAATCAGTTGAACATATACGTGAGAAGTTATTTATGGCTCAAAAACAAACAACAACAGAAAAAATATAGCATGGGCTGGGCCCAGTGGCTGATGCCTGTAATCCCAGCACTTTGGGAGGCCAAGGCGGGCCGATCACTTGAAGTTGGGAGTTCAAGACCAGCCTGACCCAACAGGGAGAAACCTCATCTCTACTAAAAATACAAAATTAGCTGAGCATGGTGTCGCATGCCTATAATCCCAGCTACTCAGGAGGCTGAGGCAGTAGAATTGCTTGAACCCAGGAGGCAGAGATTGTGGTGAGCTGAGATCACACTCATTGTACTTCAGCCTTGGCAACAAGAGGGAAACTCTATCTCAAAAAAAAAAAAAGCATGATTTCAGGAGTCCCAATTTAGCCTCAAAATGAAGAGTATAGAAGGGTGTGATTGGAGCAGAAAGATAATAGCTTAAAAACCAGCATAATGAGAAAGTTAAAAGCTTCTTTCCAAGCCATCGGGAAATATGCAGTAAATTCTTGTGAACTAAAATTTCTGTACCGTACTATCAAACACTAGAACTCATTTATTCCATCTTTCTGTATTTTTGTACCCAATTATCAACTCCTCTTCATTCCCCATCCCACCCCTTTTCTTTCTAGCCTCTGCTAACCACCTTTATACTCCACCTTCATGAGATTCCTTTTGTGTGCATGTGTGTGATGGAGTCTCATTCTATTGCCCAGGTTGGAGTATAGAGGCATGATCTTGGCTCACTGCTACCTCCACCTCCTAGTTTCAAGCGATTCTCCTATCTCAGCCTCCCAAATAGCTGGAACTACAAGCATGCACCACCGCACCCGGCTGATTTTTGTATTTTTAGTAGAGATGAGGTTTCACCATGTTTGCCAGGCTGGTTTTGAACTCCTGGCCTCAGGTGATCCATCCGACTTGGCCTCCCAAAGTGCTGGGATTACAGGCAAGAGCCACTACACCTTGCCAAGATTTTCTTTTTTGTTCCTACATATAAGTGAGGGCATGTAATATTTGTCATTCTGCACCTGGCTTATTTCACTTAATATACTGACCTGCAATCTTATCAATTTTTGCTGCAGTGGAGAGAATTTTATTCTTTTTTAGGCTGAATAATACTTCACTGTAATGTGTATACCACAGTTTCTTAATTGAAACAAGTTTTTAAACAACAAATACGTTTAAAATGTACCAGAATGTGAAATTTTAGGGATACCCTGACGATTTTATTCTTTTTTAGTTCCCATCTTATGTACGTACAAGTGTGAAAAAACAGCAATCAATGTGTGTATAAATCTATAACTTCAACAAATGTAAAATGAAAATGCTAAATGGTAAGAAAAAACAGCATAAGAAAAATTTGTATGGTGTTGAAGGGCAATGCATTTGAAGATAATATTTGAAGAAATCATGTTACATTTAACTTCTGTTCTTACTCATTGGAGCTTGATCCCTCTAGGAACTTTATCATTGGAACCATCTCTGGTGCTTTAAAAAAAAAAAAAAAAAAAAAAAAAAAAAAAAAAAAAAAAAAATCTGCGTACCCACACAGGTGCAAGTAAATCAGAATCTCAGGTGATGAGACACAGGCCTCATCATTTGTAAGCTCCCCAGGTGATTTCAGTCAAAGCCAAGATTGAAGACCGGTGACATGGATCTCTACACATAACCTGCCTAAATAGATTCCATAGAAGTAGTCTCTAAAGAGATTCCACATGAACTCAGGAAGAGGATGTGAATTTGATGTACAGTATGTCCTCACTGAACGTCTTTGATACTGTCTTGGAAACTGAATCTTTAAGCAAAATTATGTATAGTGAAACCAATTTATTCCTCATCAACGTTATAAGTAAACAACTTTGAACAAAACAGTGGTGTTGGAGGACCTACTGTACATTGTTTCCATAAAGTCAATTTTCAGGCAAACACAAAATGAAGTCAGGACTTCCTGTATATGAAAAGATGGTTGTGATTTCACCTGGAAAACAGGTTTATTGCTCAGAAACTAAAGGAGGCCACCTAGGTAGAGAGGATTCAGTCGTGATGTTTACGCTAAACAAAGGATCCCAGAATACTCATCATTCCAGTTAAAGGCATAACAAAGAAGACAATATTCACATAGGAAATGTGGAAAGGAATAAAAGCCATCAAGCAACAAAAATAATGTGACCAAGGGGGTAGGATTTGCAGATGTAGAGATTTAATGTGCTTGCCCTTTCTAACGCACACAAGAAAAAGGATGGAACAGATCATGAGATTAGACTGTTCTGCTGTGCAGCCTCCACAGGGCACTTTGAATGTCCCTGTTTCTCAGGCTGCAGATGAAGGGGTTCAGCATGGGGGTGACCACCACAGCGTACATTACTGACGCCACCACATCATTCCTGGGGGATGATGACACAGCGGAAGTCAGGTACACGCCAATGCCTGTTCCATAAAATAAGCAAACAACTGCCAGGCGAGAGCCTCAGGTGGAGAAGGCTTTATAATTCCCATCTGAGGATGGAATTCTTAGAATGGGGAAGGCAACTGTATAGTAACACAAAAGGATCCCTGAAATGCGAAGAAAACCAAATATAGTACTATCTAAATATATGTATATGTTATTGATGTCACTGTCAGAACAGGCAAGGTTGAGACGTTGAAACGGGTCACAGAAAAAATTAGAGATTTCCACATTCTTGAAGCAGATGAATTGTAACACAATCAAATTGTGCAGCTGGGAATCCAACAGGCTAAGGAAAAAAGGCACCAAAACTAATAAGACACAGAGGTGAGGATTCATGATGCCTGGGTAGTTCAGGGGGTGACAGATGGCCACAAACCAGTCATAGGCCATCACAGTCAGGATCATGTCATCCTTACATGCAAAAAGGACAAAGAAAGACATCTGTGTCAGGCAGTCCCCATGGTAGATGACTCTGCTATGCGATTGCATCTCCTCAATCATCTTGGGGACCGTGGCCGAGGTGAAACCGATGTCAGGCAAGGACAGGTTGGAGAGGAAGAAGTACATGGGGGTGTCGAGGTGGGAGTCAGAGCCGATGGCCAGGATAATGAGCAGGTTCCCCAGCACCGTGACCAGGTACATGGACAGGAAGAGCCCAGCGAGGATGGGCTGCAGTTCTGGATCCTCTGAGAGTCCCAGGAGGAGGAATTCTGAGACAGCTGTGAGATTCTGTGGCTCTGTGTCACTTGGACACCATGAGAAGAAAAGAGGATTGGAAAATTAAAAGATAAAAACCAGCACTTAATGCTGTGTGTGTATTTTGGATACAAGCAATTCACAAGGAACATTTTCACACTTGAGGACCACACACCCTCAGCAATATTTCTCCGTTGTGACAAACCCAAAAATCTCAGAATTATTACATAATTTACTTTTTTGCTATTCAACTCTTTCTGTACATACCTACTTTAGAGAAAAGCCACTGACCAATGTTAGAAGATCAAAATGTAATATATAACAAATCCATGATCTCAGTAAAATATGGCCTATTCTTTTCAGAAAAAATAAAAATAAATAAAATGTTCTTCTCTCTTTAAGAAAAAAAAACTCAATCTAATTGAAAGAAATTAAGAAGCAGTGAAACACACTTTATTTTATTCTGACACTGTGCTACAAATTCCTTTGATGTAGAATATTTATAAGCACTATACAAGAGCTAGGACTGCATTATCTAAAAACTAAATCAAACCTTACAGTTTTTAATCAGAAGATCTTTTTACGTGCTGGTTACTTTTCATATTTATTATCATCCTTAGGTTTTCTGACATCATTTCTTCATAAAAGTAAATGCACGGTCAAATATGGGAGCTGTGTTTCCGGATTCATTAAATGTATAACTCTTGGCCGGGTGCGATGGCTCACACCTGTAATCCCAGCACTTTGGGAGGCTGAGGGTGATGGATCATCGGAGGTCAGGAGTTCCAGACCAGCCTGGCCAACATGGTGAAACCCCGTCTCCAGTGACAATACAAAATTAGCCAGGCATGGTGGCGGGCACCTGTAACCCCAGCTACTCATGAGGCTGAAACAGGAGAATCCCTTAGAACCTGGGAAGCAGAGTTGTACACCCTGAGATATTATTTTTGATATCCTAGGGAGATACTGCTTCTAATATCATAGTGGGCATACACCCTGTGATACTATTTGTAATATCCTAGAAAGATATTGCTCCTAATATCACAGTGGGTGTGCACCCTGTGATATTATTTGTAATATCCTAGGGAGATATTACTCCTAACATTACAGTGGGTGTATACCCTCTGATATTATTCATAATATCTTATGGAGATACAACTCCTGATATCACTGTGAGTGTACACCATGTTTTTACACCCTGTGATGTTATTCTTAATAACCTAGAATAATATTACTTCTAATATCAGAGTGGGTATACATCCTGTGATATTATTTTAATACACTAGGTAGATATTACTCCTAATATCACAGTGGGTATACACCATGTGTGTACACCTTGTGAAATTATTCTTAATACCCTAAGAAGATATTACTCCTGATATTACAGTGGGTGTACACTCTGTGATATAATTAGTAATAATCTAGAGAGATATTTCTCCTAATATCACAGTGGGTGAACACCATCTGTGTACGCTTTGTGATGTTACTCATAATATCCTAGGGAGATATTTCTCCTAATATCACAGTGGGTGTACATCATGTGTGTATACGCTGTGCTGTTATTCATTATATCCTAGGTAGATATTACTCCTAATATCACAGTGGGTGCGCACCATGGGTGTACATTCTGTGATGTTATTCGTAATATCCTAGGGAGGTATTCCTCCTCTTATCACAGTGGGTGTACCCCCTGTGATATTATTCATAATATCCTAGATATTACTCCTAATATCAGAGTGGGTATACACCCTGTGATATTATCTGTAATATTCTAGGGAGATATTACTGTATACGCTGTGATATTATTTGTAACATTTTAGGGACATATTTCTCCTAAAGTCACAGTGGGTGTGCACCCTGTAATATTCTTCCTAATATCACAGAGGGTGTACACCATGTGTGACATTGTTCCTAATATCTAGGGGGGGAGAAGATGATATTAGTTCCAATAGCACAGAAGGTGTACACCGCCCCCACTCTGTGATATTGTTCCTAATTTCCAGGGAAGGAGATGATGACATTATTCCCAATATCACTGGGGATGTACACCCTTCTGTGATATTGTTCTTAATATCCAGGGGTGGAAAGAATGATATTACTCCCAATATCGCAGGAGGTTTACACCACCCCTGTGATATTGTTGGTAATATTCTGGGGGGTAGAGAATGATATTACTACCAATATCGCAGGTTGTGTAAACATCCCCTGTGATATTGTTTCTAATGTCCCGTGAAAGAGAAAACATTACTCCCAATATTGCAGGGGGTGTTCACCTTTTTGTGATATTGTTTCTCATATCCAGGGAAATAAAGGATGATATTACTCTCAATATTGCAGAGGGTGGACACCCCTTTCGGATATTGTTCCTAATACTCAAACGGGGAGAGGATGATATTACTCCCAATATGAAGGAAATGTAAAGCACCCTTGTGATATTGTTACTAATATCCAGAGAGGAAAAGAATGATATTACTCCCAACAGCCTAGGAAATGTACACTCGCGCTGTGATATTTTTCCTAGTATCCGGCGGAGAGAGGATCTTATTACTTCCAAAGTCGCAGGGTGTGTACACCCCCTCTGTGATCTTGTTGCTAATATCCAGGTTGGGGGAGGATGATATTACTCCCAATATCGCAGGGGTGTACACCTCCCCACCCCGTGATCTTGTTCGTAATTCCCTGGATTGAGAGGATGATATTACTGCCAATATCGCAGGGGTGTACACCCCCCTGTGATACTTTTTCTAATATTCAGGGCGGGAGTGGATAATATTACCCCCAATATCGCAGAAGGTGTACATTCCTCCTGTGATATTGTTCATAGTATCCAGGGAGGAAGAGGATGATGCTACTCCCTATATCGCAGGAAGAGTACGTCCCTTCTGTGGTATTGTTCCTAATATCCAAAGGGGGAGCGGCTGACATTACTCTCAATATAGCTGGTGTTTTCCATCCACCTCCCCCCGCCCCCTTGATATTGTTCCTAATATCCAGGTGGGCAAAGAATGAAAAATGAGGGTCTCATGGAAGTAAAGGGTAGTATTGTGGATACCAGAGGCTGGGAAGAGTTTGTGTGGGGAGCAGGGGTAGAGAGAGGCAGGTAAATGGGTACAAACGTACAGTCAGATAGGAGGAGTGAATTCTAGTATTAAATAGTAGAATAGGGAAACTACAGTTAAAAATAATTTACTCACTTTGGGAGGCCGAGGTGGCTGGATCACGACGTCAGGAGATCGAGACCATCCTGGCTAACACGGTGAAACCCCGTCCCTACTAGAAATACAAAAAATTAGCGGGGCGTGGTGGTGGGCGCCTGTAGTCCCAGCTACTCTGGAGGCTGAGGCGGAGCTTGCAGTGAGCCAAGATTGCGCCACTGCACTCCAGCCTGGGTGACAGAGCGAGACTCCATCTCAAAATAAATAAATAAATAAATAAAATAATAATAATAATAATAATTTACTGTATGTTTCTAAATAGCTAGAAGAGAATGTTTGAAATGTTCTCAACACAAAGAAATGATAAATATTTGAGGGGATGAGTATCTTAAATATACTGATTTGATCATTATACATTTTATGCATGTATCAAAATATCACATGTACTTCCTAAATAATTATTCATATCAATTTAAAAATGCTTAAAGATTTAAAAATAAATAAAATCGAGTTTGATGTTTGTAACTTTTCTTCTTATCTCTATTGGCATCTTTCTCTGAGTTCATGTTACTTGGTTCTCTTGGGCCCTACTGTTTCTGTTTTTCATCTGGCAGTTTCCAAAACCAGAACAGGTTCAGAGAGACTCTCAAGGGCCTGAATACTGGGGGAGAAAGCCGTATCATTACAGTCAGCCACAGAGAGGTCATTTTCATTCGCTCTTTAGTGTTTTTTGTTTGTTTGTGTCTTTTCACTAACATTCACGAGATCTGGCATTTCAGATAATTCTGACAACATTCCTCATCCATAACACATGACTTGGACATGATGATTTTATAATCTGTAAATTAAAATCTCAATATTTATTTCATATTTGTCTGCTGTTTACAAGCGTTCTGTTTCCCAACTTAATAAACCTTCTATTCTAGTCCTCACCAAGTCTGTGCCTCTTTTTTTTTTCATTTCTCTGTTTCTCTTAGCAGTGTGTTAATGAATCTGACATGCCCTGAAAAGAAATTTAGCTAATAAATTCCATTTTATTTATTTGTTTTACAATACATAGTTAAAATAATCATACAAATTTAGGAGGCTGAGAGTTTTGAGCCCAATTCAGAAACTCAGTGTTTTTGATAAAGATTTTATCAGGTTTCTCTCCTGCTTGCACCTCAGAATGCCTTGGAGTTCCTTAATTAATATTTATCACCTCATGCTTTACTAACAAATATGAGGAAAATAATTTTGTTAAATGGATGACACATCCCAAGAAGTCTTCTGAAGCTCAGGGATATTACAAGCATATGTGCACTGTTTTACAGTAATATTAAAATAAAAATAAAAAAAGAAATTTATAAAGATAACACACACCGGCCGGGCGCAGTGGCTTACGCCTGTAATCCCAGCACTTTGGGAGGTCGAGGCGGGCGGATCACGAGGTCAGGAGATCCAGACCATCCTGGCTAACACGGTGAAACCCCGTCTCTACTAAAACTATTTAAAGAAAGATTAGCCAGGCATGGTGGCGGGCGCCTGTCGTCCCAGCTACTCTGGAGGCTGAGGCAAGAGAATGGCGTGAACCTGGGAGGCGGAGCTTGCAGTGAGCCGAGATACGGCCACTGCACTCCAGCCTGGACTACAGAGACTCCGTCCCCCGACCCAAACCCTCCGAAAAAAAAATCTAACACATACCAATTACTTAGCCAAAGCAGAAAATTATATCTAAGTTTAATAATGAATGACCACTTTTCCGCTTTCTGACACGAGAAATTTCATTACACACAAGCACTCTATGTATTTTCAGTAAAGCTATTAAGTTATTTGAATATTCCTCTTTTACAGATTACATATTCTCAAAATTTACCTACTTTGTATTTGAATTTTCATGTAGACACCTGAAGTGTATCTTGAAGCATGTTGCCTATGAATTAATCCACTATTTTTATTTTATTTGACTTATGTAAATTTAAATGAATTACTTCATTAATCTAGATACTAACCTTTAATAATTTACAAATCTTTAATTTCACATCTTAATAGACCAATGAAAATCACATTGTGCACATTAGTTTTTATTTAATAAACTAAATCTAAACTTGGTATTACATACTAATAACACAGGATTTCTATTCATTTTATGCCTTAATGTAGGTCTCCATCTATTAATATAATTTTATTTTGGGGGTTATTTGGATATAGGTAATCCTTGAATCTTGATTCTATCATTCTTTCCAGCTTGTTTGCTTACTTTTCTAACTTTGGGACCTTCACAGATTTTGAAAACTAGTTTCCACTTGGCCTTATCTAATTACTGATGAAGAAATTGACTCAACATAGCCAATAGCATAATTTTAACAAATAAATTATTCAAAAACCATTAAATGAGGCAAAACATTGGTTGATAGCTGCAAATTTTGAGAATGTGGTAACAATAAACACCTAAATGAAAGAAAAGACTAGAAATTAGAAAAGTTGGGCTTGGCACAGTGGCTCACACCTGTAATCCCAGCACTTTGAGAGGCTGAGGCAGGCAGATCACAAGGTCAAGGGTCCGAGACCAGCCTGGCCAATATGGTGAAACACCGTCTCTACTAAAAAATACAAAAATTATCCCGGCACGGTGGCGGGAGCCTATAGTCCCAGCTACTCAGGAGGCTGAGGCAGGAATTGTTTGAACCAGGGAGGCGGAGGCTGCAGTGAGCCGAGATCGCGCCAAGGCACTCCAGCCTGGGCAACAAAGCGAGACTCCATCTGAAAAGAAAAAAGAAAGAAAGAAAGAAAAATTGGAATGCAATAGAGATAGTTGCATAACAAAGAGACTAAAATATTGTCTTTATAAGAGAGGGTTTCAGAAATATTGTTAGTTTCTAAAGAAAGAAGATGAGAAAATCACATTCAATACAATAATTAGCAGTTTCTTAATGCTTTTACAAGTTAATTTTCTTTTGGGTTAAATAAAATAAAAATATTAGGAACTTTGTTTTATACAAATGCATTGAACAATATGCAAGAAAATATAATAACTAATATAAATCTGATGAATCAGGTAAACAATTAAATTTACATAAAAAGTACACATTCAAGGGGTGACGGACGGCACCTGGAAAATTGGGTCACTCCCACACGAATACTGCGCTTTTCTGACGGGCTTGAAAAACGGCGCACCACGAGACTATATCCCGCACCTGGCTCCGAGGGTCCTACGCCCACGGAGTCTCGCTGATTGCTAGCACAGCAGGCTGAGATCAAACTGCAAGGCGGCAGCGAAGCTGGGGGAGGGGCGCCCGCCATTGCCCAGGCTTGCTTAGGTAAACAAAGCAGCCGGGTAGCTCGAACTGGGTGGAGCCCACCACAGCTCAAGGAGGCCTGCCTGCCTCTGTAGGCTCCACCTCTGGGGGCAGGGCACAGACAAACAAAAAGACAGCAGTAACCTCTGCAGACTTAAATGTCCCTGTCTGACAGCTTTGAAGAGAGCAATGGTTCTCCCAGCACGCAGCTGGAGATCTGAGAACGGGCAGACTGCCTCCTCAAGTGGGTCCCTGACCCCTGACACCCGAGCAGCCTAACTGGGAGGCACCCCCCAGCAGGGGCACACTGACACCTCACACAGCAGGGTATTCCAACAGACATGCAGCTGAGGGTCCTGTCTGTTAGAAGGAAAACTAACAAACAGAAAGGACATCCACACCAAAAACCCATCTCTACATCAGCATCATCAAAGACCAAATGTAGATAAAACCACAAAGATGGGGAAAAAACAGAACAGAAAAACTGGAAACTCCAAAAAGCAGAGCGCCTCTCCTTCTCCAAAGGAACGCAGTTCCTCACCAGCAACGGAACAAAGCTGGTGACTTTGACGAGCTGAGAGAAGAAGGCTTCAGATGATCAAATTACTCTGAGCTACGGGAGGACATTCAAACCAAAGGCAAAGAAGTTGAAAACTTTGAAAAAAATTTAGAAGAATGTATAACTAGAATAACCAATACAGAGAAGTGCTTAAAGGAGCTGATGGAGCTGAAAACCAAGGCTCGAGAACTACGTGAAGAATGCAGAAGCCTCAGGAGCTGATGCGATCAACTGGAAGAAAGGGTATCAGCAATGGAAGATGAAATGAATTAAATGAAGCGAGAAGGGAAGTTTAGAGAAAAAAGAATAAAAAGAAATGAGCAAAGCCTCCAAGAAATATGGGACTATGTGAAAAGACCAAATCTACGTCTGACTGGGGTACCGGAAAGCGATGGGGAGAATGGAACCAAGTTGGAAAACACTCTGCAGGATATTATCCAGGAGAACTTCCCCAATCTAGCAAGGCAGGCCAACGTTCAGATTCAGGAAATACAGAGAACGCCACAAAGATACTCCTCGAGAAGAGCAACTCCAAGACACATAATTGTCAGATTCACCAAAGTTGAAATGAAGGAAAAAATGTTAAGGGCAGCCAGAGAGAAAGGTCAGGTTACCCTCAAAGGGAAGCCCATCAGACTAACAGCGGATCTCTCGGCAGAAACCCTACAAGCCAGAAGAGAGAGGGGGCCAATATTCAACATTCTTAAAGAAAAGAATTTTCAACCCAGAATTTCATATCCAGCCAAACTAAGCTTCATAAGTGAAGGAGAAATAAAATACTTTACAGATAAGCAAATGCTGAGAGATTTTGTCACCACCAGGCCTGCCCTAAAAGATCTCCTGAAGGAAGCACTAAACATGAAAAGGAACAACCGGTACCAGCCGCTGCAAAATCATGCCAAAATGTAAAGACCATCCAGACTAGGAAGAAACTGCATCAACTAACCAGCAAAAGAATGAGCTAACATCATAATGACAGGATCAAATTCACACATAACAATATTAACTTTAAATGTAAATGGACTGAATGCTCCAATTAAAAGACACAGACTGGCAAATTGGATAAAGAGTCAAGACCCATCAGTGTGCTGTATTCAGGAAACCCATCTCACGTGCAGAGACACACATAGGCTCAAAATAAAAGGATGGAGGAAGATCTACCAAGCAAATGGAAAACAAAAAAAGGCAGGGGTTGCAATCCTAGTCTCTGATAAAACAGACTTTAAAACAACAAAGATCAAAAGAGACAAAGAAGGCCATTACATAATGGTAAAGGGATCAATTCAACAAGAAGAGCTAACTATCCTAAATATATATGCACCCAATACAGGAGCACCAAGATTCATAAAGCAAGTCCTGAGTGGCCTACAAAGAGACTTAGACTCCCACACATTAATAATGGGAGACTTTAACACCCCACTGTCAACATTAGACAGATCAACGAGACAGAAAGTCAACAAGGATACCCAGGAATTGAACTCAGCTCTGCACCAAGCGGACCTAATAGACATCTCCACCTCAAATCAACGGAATATACATTTTTTTTCAGCACCACACCACACCTATTCCAAAATTGACAACATACTTGGAAGTAAAGCTCTCCTCAGCAAATGTAAAAGAACAGAAATTATAACAAACTATCTCTCAGACCACAGTGAAATCAAACTAGAACTCAGGATTAAGAATCTCACTGAAAACCACTCAACTACATGGAAACTGAACAACCTGCTCCTGAATGACTACTGGGTACATAACGAAATGAAGGCAGAAATAAAGATATTCTTTGAAACCAACGAGAACAAAGACACAACATACCAGAATCTCTGGGACGCATTCAAAGCAGGGTGTAGAGGGAAATTTATAGCACTAAATGCCCACAAGAGAAAGCAGAAAAGATCCAAAATTGACACCCTAACATCACAATTAAAAGAACTAGAAAAGCAAGAGCAAACACATTCAAAAGCTAGCAGAAGGCAAGAAATAACTAAAATCAGAGCAGAACTGAAGGAAATAGAGACACAAAAAACCCTTCAAAAAATTAATGAATCCAGGAGCTGGTTTTTTGAAAGGATCAACAAAATTGATAGACCGCTAGCAAGACTAATAAAGAAAAAAAGAGAGAAGAATCAAATAGACGCAATAAAAAATGATAAAGGGGATATCACCAACGATCCCACAGAAATACTAACTACCATCAGAGAATACTACAAACACCTCTATGCAAATCAACTAGAAAATCTAGAAGAAATGGATAAATTCCTCGACACATACACTCTCCCAAGACTAAACCAGGAAGAAGTTGAATCTCTGAATAGACCAATAACAGGAGCTGAAATTGTGGGAATAATCAATAGCTTACCAACCAAAAAGAGTCCAGGCCAGATGGATTCACAGCCGAATTCTACCAGAGGTACAAGGAGGAACTGGTACCATTCCTTCTGAAACTATTCCAATCAATAGAAAAAGAGGGAATCCTCCCTAACTCTTTTTATGAGGCCAGCATCATTCTGATACCAAAGCCAGGCAGAGACACAACAAAAAAAGAGAATTTTAGACCAATATCCTTGATGAACATTGATGCAAAAATCCTCAATAAAATACTGGCAAACCGAATCCAGCAGCACATCAAAAAGCTTATCCACCATGATCAAGTGGGTTTCATCCCTGGGATGCAAGGCTGGTTCAATATACGCAAATCAATAAATGTAATCCAGCATATAAACAGAATCAAAGACAAAAACCATATGATTATCTCAATAGATGCAGAAAAGGCCTTTGACAAAATTCAACAACCCTTCATGCTAAAAACTCTCAATAAATTAGGTATTGATGGGACGTTTTTCAAAATAATAAGAGCTATCTATGACAAACCCACAGCCAATATCATACTGAATGGGCAAAAACTGAAAGCATTCCCTTTGAAAACTGGCACAAGACAGGGATGCCCTCTCTCACCACTCCTATTCAACATAGTGTTGGAAGTTCTGGCCAGGGCAATCAGGCTGGAGAAGGAAATAAAGGGTATTCAATTAGGAAAAGAGGAAGTCAAATTGTCCCTGTTTGCAGACGACATGATTGTATATCTAGAAAACCCCATTGTCTCAGCCCAAAATCTCCTTAAGCTGATAAGCAACTTCAGCAAAGTCTCAGGATACAAAATCAATGTACAAAAATCACAAGCATTCTTATACTCAAACAACAGACAAACAGAGAGCCAAATCATGAGTGAACTCCCATTCACAATTGCTTCAAAGAGAATAAAATACCTAGGAATCCAACTTACAAGGGATGTGAAGGACCTCTTCAAGGAGAACTACAAACCACTGCTCAAGGAAATAAAAGAGGATACAAAGAAATGGAAGAACATTCCATGCTTATGGGTAGGAAGAATCAATATTGTGAAAATGGCCATACTACCCAAGGTAATTTACAGATTCAATGCCATCCCCATCAAGCTACCAATTACTTTCTTCACAGAATTGGAAAAAACTACTTTAAAGTTCATATGGAACCAAAAAAGAGCCCACATCGCCAAGTCAATCCTAAGCCAAAAGAACAAAGCTGGAGGCATCACACTACCTGACTTCAAACTATACTACAAGGCTACAGTAACCAAAACAGCATGGTACTGGTACCAAAACAGAGATATAGATCAATGGAACAGAACAGAGCCCTCAGAAATAACACTGCATATCTACAACTATCTGATCTTTGACAAACTGAGAAAAACAAGCAATGGGGAAAGGATTCCCTATTTAATAAATGGTGCTGGGAAAACTGGCTAGCCATATGTAGAAAGCTGAAACTGGATCCCTCCCATACACCTTATACAAAAATCAATTCAAGATGGATTAAAGACTTAAATGTTAGACCTAAAACCATAAAAACCCTAGAAGAAAACCTAGGCTTTACCATTCAGGACATAGGCATGGGCAAGGACTTCATGTCTAAAACACCAAAAGCAATGGCAACAAAAGACAAAATTGACAAATGGGATCTAATTAAACTAAAGAGCTTCTGCACAGCAAAAGAAACTACCATCAGAGGGAACAGGCAACCTACAAAATGGGAGAAAATTTTCGCAACCTACTCATCTGACAAAGGGCTAATATCCAGAATCTACAATGAACTCAAACAAATTTACAAGAAAAAAACAAACAACGCCATCAAAAAGTGGGTGAAGGACATGAACAGACACTTCTCAAAAGAAGACATTTATGCAGCCAAACAACATATGAAAAAATGCTCATCATCACTGGCCATCAGAGAAATGCAAATCAAAACCACTATGAGATACCATCTCACACCAGTTAGAATGGCAATCATTAAAAAGTCAGGAAACAACAGGTGCTGGAGAGGATGTGCAGAAATAGGAGCACTTTTACACTGTTGGTGGGACTGTAAACTAGTTCAACCATTGTGGAAGTCAGTGTGGCGATTCCTCAGGGATCTAGAACTGGAAGTACCATTTGACGCAGTCATCCCATTACTGGGTAAAATCATGCTGCTATAAAGACACATGCACACGTATGTTTATTGCGGCATTATTCACAATAGCAAAGACTTGGAACCAACCCAAATGTCCAACAACGATAGACTGGATTAAGAAAATGTGGCACATATACACCATGGAATACTATGCAGCCATAAAAAATGATGAGTTCATGTCCTTTGTAGGGACATGGATGAAATTGGAAGTCATCATTCTCAGTAAACTATCGCAAGAACAAAAAACTGAACACCGCATATTCTCACTCATAGGTGGGAATTGAACAATGAAATCACATGGACACAGGAAGGGGAATATCACACTCTGGGGACTGTTGTGGGCTAGGGGGAGGGGGGAGGTGGGAGGGACAGCATTGGGAGATATACCTAATGCTAGACAACGAGTTAGTGGGTGCAGCGCACCAGCATGGCACATGTATACATATGTAACTAACCTGCACAATGTGCACATGTACCCTAAAACTTTAATTAAAAAAAAAAAAGTACACATTCAATGAATTAAAAACTAAGCAAAATCACCAAGTGATAAGAGCTCTTGATTTTAAAATATTTGTAGACTTTGTGAGTTTAGACATAAGAGACTTGAATTAGAGGGTAGGGAGCATAGCTCAAAACACGTCTAAAGCTCCGAATCTCAAAATAACTGGATTTCATCTCCCAAACATTGTTTCTAAGTTCTACATCAAAAGAAATATAAGCATTTACTTGTACAATATTTTAGTCCCATATGTAATTCCATTAAATCATACCAGTACAGGGGAGGCAGAGATAATACAGCGGTCAGCTGGTATGGAAACCATAGGTGAGCTGCTTAGTGGACAGGGCTCCAGGGCCCGGTAACCACTGTGGTCCAGTAAGGTGAGAGAATAATCTGTAGGTGCATAGACAACACCAAATTATTCATGAACATCTATCTGGCCAAATTCACCCAAATGAACCATTGAGGGAAATAAGATGGTGGAGTTGGGCAACATTTTGTGACAGGCCATAGTGTCTGCTGTGCCCACATCCCAGATGATGTGAACATCGCCACTTCTATCAGGTGCAAATTCACTGACAAGGTCAAGAGCAAGAGCCATGGGGAATTTCCCTCCATAAAAGTGTCTGTCTCCTTACCAAGTCACAGCCCCAACTCAGCTTCTTTCAGAGTTCTACCAAGGCAACTTCCTGTTTATCTCCACATTATTAATGCCTACATTTAATACAAATACCATTTTCAATTAATACGTCATTGCAATTGAGAAAAGACTTTTGTGAACGGAAATTCCAAGAACTTATTTTGAAGAATATTTGTCAGATTCATTCACCGAATATTAATCTATCACTTGCAACTATGCAATGATTAAAATCTTTGCAGCACTTGAACATGTGTGCATGTGTCTTTCTGAATGTGTGTCTGTCTCAAGGAAAGAGGGAGGGACAGGGCTAGAAAATTTGGAGCAGAATGAAAGAGAATAAAAGAATAGCTGTAATTGATGCATACTAATTAGAGTTTTCTTGATAGCACATTTTTGCAGAAACTCTCACATTCTTTAAATACACTCATGCATGTGTGTGTGTGTGTGTGTGTGTGTGAGAGAGAGAGAGAGAAAGACAGACAGGCAGAGAGAGAGAGAGAGAGAGAGGAGGTAAAAAAAGCAGAGTTTAGAATTCCTATTAAAACTATAGTCCTAAAATTTGATTTTATTCCCCCAAGAAGTAGTTCAGTGAATACAAAGGAGAAATATATATTAAACTTATAGCATTTCTCACCTATGTGATATTTAACAATCCCTTAAAAATCATAAATGGTGAAAAATAATGCATAAGAAAAAAAGAATGGATAATAGAAATTATTTTATATTTCCAGTTTCATGTATCATTGTGGCTTTGGTCTGTGAACATATATTCCATTTGATTTCTAGATGAAATTTCATTTAAAAATATTCATTATTTTGGAGAACCTAACAAAGATATATAGAATCATAGTAAAGTCAACATGCCATGATCTTGAATCAGTTTGGTAACTTTCTTTATCCCTAACTGGATACAACTATTAACAGAATGTGTTTACTGAGAAAATATTCTAATAAAAAAATGTAGATATAAACTAGACTTTGAAAGTAACTAAAATATGCTCTTTAGTTGAGATTTTTAGCCAAACAATCACAGAAAGGAAGAGGTCCTTTTCCTGCTAATTACATTCGCTAAAGCCTTCTTTACTTCCTTACTCCTGAGGCTGTAGATCAGAGGATTCAACATGGGAATCACCACTGTGTAGAACACAGAAGCCACTTTGTCCTGATTCAGGGAGTAGCTGGAACTAGGTCTCAGGTAAGTATAGATGCAGGTGGCATAGAACAGAATTATGGCTGTCAGGTGAGAGGCACACGTGGAGAAAGCTCTGTGCCTCCCCTCCCCCGAATGCATAGAAAAAATGGAGAAGAGAACGTAGGAGTAGGAGGAGAGGATGACAAGCAGAGTCCCCACAATATTCACACCAGCCAAAATAGAACTTATGCTTTCTTTCAGGATTGTGTCAGAACAAGAGAGCTTGAAAAGTGGGGGACTGTCACAGAAGAAGTGATGGATGACATTGGAGTCACAGAATGACAAGCTGCTGACATGGCTTGTGTTGACCATGAAGTTCAGCAACCCTGCAGCAAAAGCCCCGGCTGCCATTTTTAGGTAGACGGTCCTGGACATGATCAAGGAGTAAAGCAGCGGGCGACATATGGCCGCATACCTGTCATAGGCCATTAACCCAAAGAGGATGCATTCGGTTGTCGCCAGGGAGATAAAGAAGTACATCTGTAGGAAGCAGCCAGCAAAAGAGATGGTTTTCTTCTCTGATAATAAATCTGCCAGCATCTTTGGGGTGATGGTAGTTGAGTTACAAACGTCCACAAAGGACAGGTTAGCCAGGAAGAAATACATGGGTGTGTGAAGCTGGGAATCGATCCTGATTAAGAGGATCATCCCGAGATTTCCCAGTACTGTAAGTGTATAAATCACAAGAAAAAACAAAAAGAGGATAATCTGTAGCTCCAGCGTGTCTGCTAATCCCAATAGGACGAACTCAGTCAGTGAGGTATAATTTTTTCTGGTCATTTATGAGAAATATATTTTGTGTAAACTTTGTATTAGTTGCACATATTTTCCTCTCTAAAAGTTTACAAAAAAAAAAAAAAAGAAGTGTTAATAGGACAGTCACATATGGCAAATAAATAAACAAAAACCCAGAATAATATGTCATAATTACTGAAGTAAGAGGAATATTAGAGGACCCATGGGTAAGCATTTACATGTAATAAACAATTGATTGTATTGAATTGGAGTTGTAGGCTTCTCAAATCACTGGCTGAAGTCCACATACTCTATTTCTGTGAATACAAATACTTTGTTCTATTGTTTCTATACTAGCCCACATCCAAAATGTAAAATAATAAAAATATTCTTGCTAAAATTTCTCCCATTCTCAGAGCAGGTATGTGAATTTAACTCAATGCATTCTTTTTTAATTTTCTCAAAATCACTCTGTACATTCTTCAACTCCAAAATTCATACTTTATCTCTTGAGAATGGCTTATGTGTAGCCCTAAGCAGCAAAAAGAGTGACCATTTCAAATAATCAATATTTTCACATCTATTGTATCCTTAAAAATAATTTAGTGATGTTTTAAAAGTAAACCAAATGATTGTTATACTACAATGTCCATTATCAAGTTAATTCCAAGAAGCAGCCGACAGGGTACCTATCCACCTTACTTAATAACATTACCAAATCTTTAAAACTTCCTCCCCAGATGGCTACTTACCTAAGTAAGTAACTATTATTTTTTTTTTATCAGAGGTTCTTAGTTGGAGCTTAAAAATAAAAGAAGAAAATTTAATTTAAAAAATGCAGTGGAAAATTGAATTATCTATTGGTAAAATCTTAAGATGCCTTATGATTAAATACTTGTTACTGCACTTGTATTTTGTTTTTCTCCAAGAAGACAGGGTAACCATGGGGAGTAGATTATAGCTATTAATTGCAGAGTCAATTCTCTACAGGCAGGAGCTCTGTCTCAAAACAATATTAAATATAATATGATCACATAGAGATGTATGGAATCAGACATTATGAAAGTCTTACATCATAAAGTGGTTTGTGACCTCTGGAAAATAATTGTCTATCTACACTGACTCTCTCTGTGTCTGTATTTTTAGCTTATTCTAAGTGCGTGACTAAACTATCGTTCTCCCCCTGTGCCATTTTAGTATGTGGGTGCACCCCTCTTTTTTTCGGTGTGACTTAAAATTCAGCTATTTTCCTGTATAAAGGTAGTGAGAAAGGGTAGTTAATAAATATCTATTGTATGATTTTTAAAGAAATCCTATAACCTGAGCAAATAGCACAATAGATTTAAAAATTATTATATATTTATGATTTTGAAATTGTGTTGGTTTTTGCCGTTACTATTTGTGATTCTTATCCTGCAAAGACATGAAGCTATAGATTTTCTAGATCTAAATTCAAAAAGAAGACAACGTAAAATATACTACATTGGGTATTCAAATGCAAAGAGAGTCTATTTGCATAGGGAACTCATAATGCAGCAATTGCTATGTTAATTATTTTGTTTAAATTCTCAATTACTTCTCTCAACCAGTCTTTCAGGTTGACATTATTATTCGCACATTTTATAGATGAAAAAAGTAAGGCTTTAATCTGTTAAACAACTTCCCCAAAGATAAACTGTTGGTAAGTAGAGGAATAAACTTGAACACAATCTTCAACATAAAGAACTAATACCTAGCTCGCTATTTCCTATCATGCTCCATTTTAGCTTATATGTGTATATATATGTGTGTATGTTTACGTGTATGTGTATATGTAGCGTGTGTGTATGTATATCTCATAGTGAATCTAATCCTCCAATCTTCAAAGCACGTAGGAGACATCAGCATCTAAAGGGAGGCCTCTAACATAATGCAAGAAATTTGTTAAAAAGTTGACTTTTAAAGATCTCACCATCATGTCTGATATGGTTTGGCTGTGTCCCTACCCAAATCTCATCTTGAATTGTAGTTTCCATAATCCTCACATGTCATAGGAGGGACACCATGGGAGGTAATTGAATCATGGGAGTGGTTACCCTAATGCTGTTCTTTTGTGATAGTGAGTGAGTTCCCATGAGATCTGATGGTTTTATAAGGGACTTTTCACTCTGTTGCTCATTCTACTTCTCCTTGCTGCTGCCATGTGAAGAAGAATATGTTTGCTTCCCCTTCTGCCATGATTGTAAGTTCCCTGAGGCCTCTCCAGCCATGCTTAACTGTGATTCAATTGAACTTCTTTCCTTTATAAATTACCCCATCTTAGGTACATCTTTATTAGCAGTGTGAGAATGGACTAATACAATGCCATCAAGACCTATGCCATGATTGATTATTACCTATTATATTTTCAATATTTATCTGCTTATGTATGTAAGAATACATAACTTAAGGAATGAAAGTATGTGAAATAATTTTTACTGGAGAAACTCAACTGTGAATTGAAAGAGATGGAGGAAAAACAATATATTCTCAATTCATGAATTTTGTTAGAATCAAGGAGAGAAGATAATACTATGAAAAAAGAAGAGATTGATGTTATCAAACCTTAAAAAAGCAAAGACTGAAAAAGTAGAATGAACTGGAAGTTTTAATTTAAAGTTTTGAAAGGAGTTTATTCAGGAAGAAGCAGAAAGAACAATGAATAAAAATACTTTAATTCATGAATGTTTAAATGGGGACAATACGGCCTTAGAAACCATTAATTTCTTAAAGCCATTGTGGTATAGCTTTCCTACAAAAAACTTTCATTTTTTTTCTTTTTTTAAATTATTATTATACTTTAAGTTTTAGGGTACATGTGCACAACGTGCAGGTTTGTTACATATGTATACATGTGCCATGTTGGTGTGCTGCACCCATTAACTCGTCATTTAGCATTAGGTATATCTCCTAATGCTATCCCTCCCCTCTCCCCAACCCCACAACAGTCCCCGGTGTGTGATGTTCCCCTTCCTGTGTCCATGTGTTCTCATTGTTCAATTCCCACCTAGGAGTGAGAACATGCAGTGTTTGGTTTTTTGTCCTTGCGATAGTTTGCTGAGAATGATAGTTTCCAGCTTCATCCATGTCCCTACAAAGGACATGAACTCATCCTTTTTTATGGCTGCATAGTATTCCATGGTGTATATGTGACACATTTTCTTAATCCAGTCTATCATTGTTGGACATTTGGGTTGGTTACAAGTCTTTGCTGTTGTGAATAGTGCCGTAATAAACATACGTGTGCATGTGTCTTTATAACAGCATGATTTATAATCCTTTGGGTATATACCCAGTAATGGGATGGCTGGGTCAAATGGTATTTCTAGTTCTAGATCCCTGAGGAATTGCCACACCGACTTCCATAATGGTTGAACTAGTTTACCAATGGAAAAACTTTCATTCTTAAGGGTACAGTTTGATGAGCTTTGACAACACATACAGTCTTGTAACAACTACCACAATTAAGACAGAATATTTCATTTAGCCTCATAGATTCCATTATATTTCTTTATATTTAATTCCTCTCCTTCCTCTAGTCCCTGACAACCACTGGGAAACCACAGATGTGATTTCTGTAATTCTTTTCCCCTTTTTAGAGTATGATCTAAGTGAAATCATACAGCTTATAGCCTTTCAAATCAGGCCTTCATCTTTACTATGATGTTTTGAAATTCAACCATGTTGTTCTTTTATCACTTTGTTTTTTGTGAGGTTTTTTTGCCTTTATAAAAAAGAAACTTCCAAAAGCAATGGACTAATGGACTACTAAGTAGTAGTCCATTCCATTATGTAAAACTAATTGAGAGAAAATGACATTGTTTCCAAATAAGAGCCATTATAAATAAAGCTTGTCTTTGTATCTACATATTTTTAAAATTTCACTTGGGTAATAACTGGAAGTCTATTGGATCATAAGGTAAGTAAAAGCTATTTAAGAGACTGACAAACTTTGACAACATTTTAAAACGGTGTTTTGTGTCAACACAACAATGTCTGGGAGTTCCCGTTGCTCTAAATCATTACCAGCACTTGGCATTTTCTTTCTTTTACATTTTTTAGCTAGTCTGATAGATGTGCCATTATTTCTCATTGTGGTTTTAATTTGAATTTCCCTAACAACTAATCATTTTAAACATTTTATATGTTTTCTTGCTATCACTATTTTTTGTTGTTTTGGTAAAATGTCCGTGAAAATTTTCTCTTTGGTTGTTCGTTTTATTATTACTGTTTTTTCATAGTTCCTTTTATACCCTGGATACAAGTCCTTTAATGCATATGCACTTTCACAATGCATGCTTTCAGTTTATGCCTTGACTTTACATTTTTGAGAGTAGCTTTTTATAAGCAGAAGGTAATTTCAATTAAGTGAAGCAAGTACATAGATACAAAGACAAGCTTTATTTATAATGGCTCTTATTTGGAAACAATGTCATTTTCTCTCAATTAGTGTTATGTAAGAGAATGGAATACTACTTAGCAGTCATTATTAAGTCCATTGCTTTTGGAAGTTTCATTCTTATAAAGGCAAAAAAGAAAAAAACCCACAGAAACAAATAAAATGATACAAGCAACAGCATGGTTGAATTTCAAAACATCACAGTAAGGAAGAAAGCCTGATTTGAAAGGCTACAAGTTGTATGATTTCACTTAGATCATATTCTAAAAAGGGGAAAAGAATTACAGAAATCACATCTGTGGTTTCCCAGTGGTTGTCAGGGACTAGAGGAAGGAGAGGAATTAAATATAAAGAAGTATAATGGAATTTATGAGGCTTTACTTATATGTTTGTGTTTTCTTGTGTAATGTCTAAGAAATATTTTCCTAACCCCAGGTCAAAAAGATTTTCTTCTGTTTTATTTAAGTGTTTTCTGTTGTTTCAAGTTTTAAATTAGGTCTATCATTTTCCCCTCTATTTTGATATGCAGTTTAATGAAGGATTTGTGGTTTATTTCTTCCATCCTTTCTTTCTTTTTCTCTTTCTTTTTTTCTTTTATTTTTATCACAAATTAATTTCCAATTTATCCACTACCATTTTTCAAAACACCATCATTTTTATATAGATTTACTTTGGTATTTTGTGAAATTGTATTGGCTATATATATATATATGGATCAATTTCTGAACTCTATGCTGTTCTTGATTACTGTAGATTTATAATTCAATTATTTTAGTTTTTAGTGTACAATAAATTATTTTTTACGGTACTCATCATATTACATTATCAAAAGCTTTTAAGTAAAGATTTCTGTTAAAAATTTTCTATTAATGTTACTTATTTTTATTCAAAAAATAAATATACAGTTATCAAATTAACATATTAGATATTGAAATGTGTTGACTTGATATGTGTACATATTATTTAATGATTATCACAATCAAATTCATTAACATATCCATATCCTTATATGCTGTATATAAAATATCCAGAACTTGTTTATCTTGCAAATGAAAGATTATACCCTTTCATTAACATCTACCCATTCTCCTCCACATTCCCTCAGAGAGTGTATAACACCTTTCTACTCTGTTTCAATGAATTCAACTTTTTTACATACCACACACATGTGTGATCATACAGTATTTGTCTTTCTGTGCCTGGCTTATTGCATTTAGTCTAATGCTCTCCAGGTTCATCAATATAGTTGAAAGTGTCAGGATTTCCTTCTTTTATGACACTGAATAATATTTCACTGTATGCCTACACCACATTTTCTTTCTCCATTTATCCATTGATAGACACTTAAGTTGTTTCCATATGTTGGCTACTGTGAAGAATGGTGCAATGAGCGTGGGAGTGCAGATATCTCTCTGAAATTCTGTTTTCACTTCATTGGATATACACCAGAAAAGAGACTGCTGGATTACGTGGTAGTTCTATTTGTACTTTTAACTGGAACATTTAAGTTGCTTTCTTTAATGGCTGTACTTATTTACATTCTCACCAACAGCGTATAAGGGTTCTCTTTTTTCACATCCTTGCCAACACTTCTTAGATTTGTTTTTTGGAAAATGTGGTACATGTACACTGTGGAATCATATGCAGCCATAAAAAAGACAAAATAGTAATCCATGTTGTTCACGTACTATGCTTTCTTTATCCAGTCCACCACTGATGAGCATCTATAATAGGTTGACTTAATTTCTTTGCTATTGTGAACAGTGCTATGATGAACATAAGCTTATATGTGTTGTTTTGGTAAAATAATTTATATTCCTTTGGGTATATACTCAATAATGGGATGGCTGGATTGAATGGTAGCTCTGTTTTAAATTCTTTGAGAAGTTTCCAAACTGCTTTCCACAATGGTTGAGCTAATTTTCATTCCCATGAGCAGTGTATAAACATTCCCTTTTCTCCACAGCCATGAACATCTGTTATTTTCTGACTTTTTAATAATGGCCATTCTGAGTTGTGTGAGATGGTATCTCATTGTGGTTTTGATTTGCATTTCTCTAATGGTTAGTGACATTAAGCATGTTTTATATGCTGGTTGGCTGCATGTATGTCTTCTTTTGAGACATGTCTGTTCATATCCTTTGTGCATGTTTTAATGGAGGTGTTTATTTTTTGCTTGTTGATTTGTGTAAGTTCCTTATAGATGCTGGATATTAACCGTTTGACAGATGCATAGTTTGCAAATATTTTCTGTCATTCTGTAGGTTTTCTGTTTACTCTGTTGATAGTTTCTTTTGCTATGCAGAAGATCTTTAGTTTAATTAGGTCCTACTTTTCTATTTTTGTTTTTGTGGTAATTGTCTTTGGAGACTTCATCATGAAATCTTTGCCCAGGCCTATGGTCACAATAGTATTTTCTAGGATTTCTTATAGTTATTTAAAAAGAGTTTTGGGTTTCACATTTAAGTCTTTAATCCATCTTGAACTTATTTTTATGTATGGTGAAATGTAGGGGTGTAGGTATTATCTTCTGCATATGGCTAGCCAGGTATCCCAGCACCATTTATTGAACACAGGGCCTTTGTCGATTTTGCTAATGATCAGATGGTTGTAGGTATGCAGTTGTATTTCTGGGTTCTCTAACCTGTTCAACTGAATTATGTGTCTGTTTTTGTGCCAGTACCATGCTATTTTGATTACTAGAGACTTGCAGTAGAGTTTGAAGTTGGTTAGTCTTATGTCCCCAGTTTTGTTCCTTTTGCTTAGGATTGCTTTTCTATTTGGGTTTTTTTTGTTGTTGTTGTTACACATGAATTTTAGGATCTTTTTTTTTTCTAATTACATGTCTTACAAGGATCCTTAATGGAGTGCTGCATATGGAAACAAGACTGTTACTTGGCCCCACAAAAATATAGGTTAAGTACATAGCCCATTGACACTATAAAGCAACTATAAAATTAAGTCTACACAATCAGTTAACAACATGATGACAGGATCAAATCTTTACATCACCATATTAACTTTTAATGTAAATTGGTTAAATGCCCCATGTGAAAGGCACAGAGGGACAAGTTGGATAGATAAGCAAGACCCAACTGTATGTTGTCTTCAAGAGACACATCTCAAAACTGATGACACCTACAGACTCAAAGTAAAGGGATAGGGAAAGCTCTATCAAGAAAACATAAAATGAAAAAGAGTACGAGTTGCTATTTTTATTACAAACAAAACAGACTTTAAACCAGCAATGATCAAAAAGGAAAAGAAGGGCATTAAATAATGGTGAAGAGTTCAATTCAACAAGAAGATTTAACTATCCTAAATATATATGCTCACAACAGCAGAGGACCCAGATTCATAAAACAAGTTACTTGATACCTATGACGAACTTAGGTAACCACACAATTATAGTGAAGGATTTTGAAAAACCACTGATAGTAGTAGACAGATCATTATGGCATAAACCTAACAAAGATATTTGGGATCTATATTCCACACTTGACCAAATGAACCTAACAGACATCTACAGAATACTCCACCCAGCAACAGAATATGCATTCTTCCCATCTGCACCTGGCACATACTCTAAAATCAACCACATACTTGGTCATAAAGCGATTCTCTACTAATTCAAAAACCTGACATACGCCAACCATGCTTTCAGACACAGAGTGATAAAATAAAACTCAATAACAATAAGATCTCTGAAAACTATACAATTATATGGAAATTAAACAATCTGCTCCCAAATGAGTTTTGGGTAATCAATGAAATTAAGGCAGGAATCAAGAAAATTTTTAAAACTAATGAAAACAAAGATACAACCCACCAGAGTCTCTGGGACTCACTAGAGCAGTGTTAAAAGAAAAGTTGACAGCAGTAAATACCCACATCAACAAGTTAGAAGATCTCAAATTAACAACCTAACAGCACACCTAGAGAAATTAGAAAAATGAGTGCAAGCCAATCTCAGAGCTAGCAGTTGAAAAGAAATCCATAAAAACAGGACTGAAGTGAACAAATTTGAGATGTGAAAAAACATACAAAAGCTCAATGAAAACTAGTTTGTTCTTTGAAAGAATGAATAAGATTGACAGACCACTAGCTAGACTAATCAAAAAGAGAGAAGATCCAAATAAAAGCAATCAGAAATGAGAAAGGGGATACTACAACCAGCCCCATAGAAATGCAAAAACTAAAAGAACCCTAAGAGACTATTATGAACACCTCTATGCACACAAACTAGAAAACTTAGAATAAATTAATAAATTCCTGGAAACATATAATCTCCCAAGACTAAACTGGGAAGAAATTGAAACCCTGAACAGACCAATTACAGGTACCAGAATTGAATCAGTAATAAAATTCCTACCAAGAAGCAGAATCCCAGCATCAGATGGATTCCCAGCTGAATTCCACCAGAAGTATAAAGAGAACCTGGTACCAATCCTCCTGAAATTATTCAAAAAAAAAAAATAAATAGAGGAGGAAGGACTCTTCTCTAACTCCTTCTATGTGGCCAGCATTATTCTGATATCCAAACCTGGCAGAGAAACAACAACAACAACAAAGAATACTACAGGCCAATATCTCTGATGAGCATCAAAGGAAAAATCCTCAACCAAATACTAGCAAACTGAATCTAACAGCACTCAAAAAGATAATCCACTATGATCAAGCAGGCTTTATTCCTGGGATAAAAAGTTGGTTCAACACACAAAAATCAATAAATGTGATTCATCCCACAAACAGAACTCAAAACAGAAAAATCACATAATCATTCCAATGGATGCAAAAAGGTCTACCAATAAAAATTCAACATCCGTTTACATTAAAAACCCTTAAAAAAGTAGGCATTGAAGGAACATACCTCAAAATAATAAGATTAATCTTTGACAAACCCACAGCCAATGTCATACTGAATGTGAGAAAGCTGAAATCATTCCCTCTGAGAACTGGGATAAGACGAAGATGCCTACTCTCAACACTCCTATTTAACAGAGTAATCGAAGGCCTAGCTATTGCAGTCAAGTGGGAGAAAGAAAGTAAAGGCACCAAATAGGAAGCGAGGAAGTTAAATTATCTCTCCTCACAGGCAATATAATTGTATACCTAGAAAACTCCATAGTCATTATCTAAAAGATTGTAGAACTGATAAATAATTTTAGTAAAATTTTAGGGTACAAAAATCAATGTACAAAAATCAGTAGCATTTTATATACCAATAATGTCCAAGCTGAGAACCAAATCAAGAATGTAATCCCATTCACACTAGCCAGAAACCGAATAAAATACCTATGAAGGCAGCTAACAAAGGTGAAAGGTCTCTACAATGAGAATTAGAAAACATTGTGGGAAGATTTATTATTTCCCTAGGTAAAGGAAGCTCTAATGTCTTTCATTTGCATTTTCCCACCGTTATAGCCCTCACTCCACAGTTTAGGAAACTAATGTGAGGATGTGACAACTCTGACATATGTTTAACTAAATATCCATTCTGGAACTGGAGAAATAACCACAGGGTGGTTCCTGGGGCCCACTGGAGCCATTGTAAGTCAGACCTGAGCTAAAATCGCCTGACCTCTGTAATCCCCTAACCTGACCAGAGAGTCACAGTGACATTTCTGGTTTCCTGAAATCAATGTCAGATTAGAGCAGGTGTCCAGTAATACCCAGAAGGTCTTTTTTTTATCCTCCTTTTCCCCAGTGCATAGTTATTCTGGTAAAAGGCCATGGGTCCCTTTGGGGAAGGCTTGGGAAGAAGATTAGCAGTATAAATAGTTAGTTTACTGGGGTCCTTCTTGGAAAAAATCTGGCCTCCCATTCATTCAAGGGGTTCTGGGTCTGTAAACTAGCTCAAGTCCAGGAATCGATTGAGGGGCCGTGATTCCCTGTTTTTATTATTTGAGTTAGATTTTTGCCCACTGAACTTTCAAGTTTTCTGCTTTTACAAATCAAGCAGGAATTTAGCAGGCTTCCTATCTATTTCACTTCCAGCAACACCATGGTTAACTAGCCAAAGCCACAGGTCAACACAAAGCACACAATTCTGATTGTTGCTTTGTCTCTGCTGTCTATTATGGTAACTACATCAACCTTGCCTTTGGTAGCTTTGTGCTGCCACTTGACCCTGCTACCCTGGAATACAATTATTCTCATTGCATTTCTGTTTTCCAATGGAATGGCTGTGATTCTCACTGTAAAATCTGGCCTGCAGAGAAGAGCAATCATGAAGCTTTTCAAGGATCCTGGGACTCTTCTCAAATATTGCATTTTTTTTATCTTTGTTTATTTTTAATTTTTGTGGGTGCATATACGTTGAATTTCTTGAAACTTAACCCAAAGGAGATCAGGGACCTCCCACTCACTCCAGGTGGGCCATTTTTTGGTCTGTGTTTCAGCCAACTAAACAATTAGACTTTTGCCCACTGAACTTGGAAGTGTTTCAAGGGAAACTTGGAAAAAGAGGGAGCTCCCTTTTTTTTATTTTATTATTATTATACTTTAAGTTTTAGGGTACATGTGCACAATGTGCAGGTTAGTTACATATGTATACATGTGCCATGCTGGTGTGCTGCACCCATTAACTCGTCATTCAGCATTAGTTATATCTCCTAATGCTATCCCTCCCCACTCCCCCACCCCACAACAGTCCCCAGAGTGTGATGTTCCCCTTCCTGTGTCCATGTGTTCTCATTGTTCAATTCCCACCTATGAGTGAGAACATGCGGTGTTTGGTTTTTGTCTTTGTGATAGTTTACTGAGAATGATGATTTCCAATTTCATCCATGTCCCTACAAAGGACATGAACTCATCATTTTTTATGACTGCATAGTATTCCATGGTGTATATGTGCCACATTTTCTTAATCCAGTCTATCATTGTTGGACATTTGCGTTGGTTCCAAGTCTTTGCAATTGTGAAAAATGCCACAATAAACATATGTGTGCATGTGTCTTTATATAGCAGCATGATTTATAGTCCTTTGGGTATATACCCAGTAATGGGATGGCTGGGTCAAGTGGTACTTCCAGTTCTAGATCCCTGAGGAATTGCCACACTGACTTCCACAATGGTTGAACTAGTTTACAGTCCCACCAACAGTGTAAAAGTGCTCCTATTTCTGCACATCCTCTCCAGCACCTGTTGCTTCCTGACTTTTTAATGATCGCCATTCTAACTGGTGTAAGATGCTATCTCATTGTGGTTTTGATTTGCATTTCTCTGATGGCCAGTGATGGTGAGCATTTTTTCATGTGTTTTTTGGCTGCATAAATGTCTTCTTTTGAGAAGTGTCTGTTCATGTCCTACGCCCACTTTTTGATGGGGTTGTTTGTTTTTTTCTTGTAAATTTATTTGAGTTCATTGTAGATTCTGGATATTAGCCCTTTGTCAGATGAGTAGGTTGCGAAAACTTTCTCCCATTTTGTAGGTTGCCTGTTCACTCTGATGGTAGTTTCTTTTGCTGTGCAGAAGCTCTTTAGTTTAATTAGATCCCATTTGTCAATTTTGTCTTTTGTTGCCATTGCTTTTGGTGTTTTAGACATGAAGTCCTTGCCCATGCCTATGTCCTGAATGGTAATGCCTAGGTTTTCTTCTAGGGTTTTTATGGTTTTAGGTCTAACGTTTAAGTCTTTCATCCATCTTGAATTAATTTTTGTATAAGGTGTAAGGAAGGGATCCAGTTTCAGCTTTCTACATATGACTAGCCAGTTTTCCCAGCACCATTTATTAAACAGGGAATCCTTTCCCCATTGCTTGTTTTTGTCAGGTTTGTCAAAGATCAGATAGTTGTAGATATGCGGCATTATTTCTGAGTGCTCTGTTCTGTTCCATTGATCTATATCTCTGTTTTGGTACCAGTACCATGCTGTTTTGGTTACTGTAGCCTTGTAGTATAGTTTGAAGTCAGGTAGTGTGATGCCTCCAGCTTAGTTCTTTTGGCTTAGGATTGACTTGGTGATGTGGGCTCTTTTGTAGTTCCATACGAACTTTAAAGTAGTTTTTTCCAATTCTGTGAAGAAAGTCATTGGTAGCTTGATGGGGATGGCATTGAATCTATAAATTACCTTGGACAGTATGGACATTTTCAAGATATTGATTCTTCCTACCCATGAGCATGGAATGTTCTTCCATTTCTTTGTATCCTCTTTTATTTCATTGAGCAGTGGTTTGTAGTTCTCCTTGAAGAGGTCCTTCACGTCCCTTGTAAGTTGGATTCCTAGGTATTTTATTCTCTTTGAAGCAACTGTGAATGGGAGTTCACTCATGATTTAGCTCTCTGTCTGTTATTGGTGTATAAGAATGCTTGTGATTTTTGTACATTGATTTTGTATCCTGAGACTTTGCTGAAGTTGCTTATCATCCTAAGGAGATTTTGGGCTGAGACAATGGGGTTTTCTAGATATACAATCATGTCATCTGCAAACAGGGACAATTTGACTTCCTCTTTTCCTAATTGAATACACTTTATTTCCTTCTCCTGCCTAATTGCTCTGGCCAGAACTTCCAACACTATGTTGAATAGGAGTGGTGAGAGAGGGCATCCCAGTCTTGTGCCAGTTTTCAAAGGGAATGCTTCCAGTTTTTGTCCATTCAGTATGATATTGGCTATGGGTATGTCATAGATGGCTCTTATTATTTTGAGATACATCCCATCAATACCTAATTTATTGAGAGTTTTTAGCATGAAGTGTTGTTGAATTTTGTCAAAGGCCTTTTCTGCATCTGTTGAGATAATCATGTGGTTTTTGTCTTTGGTTCTGTTTATATGCTGGATTACATTTATTGATTTGCGTATATTCAGCCAGCCTTGCATCCCAGGGATGAAGCCTACTTGATCATGGTAGATGAGCTTTTTGATGTGCTGCTGGATTCGGTTTGCCAGTATTTTATTGAGGATTTTTGTATCAATGTTCATCAAGGATATTGGTCTAAAATTCTCTTTTTTTTGTTGTGTCTCTGCCCGGCTTTGGTATCAGGATGATGCTGGCCTCATAACTCATAAAATGAGTTAGGGAGGATTCCCTCTTTTTCTGTTGATTGGAATAGTTTCAGAAGGAATGGTACCAGTTCCTCCTTGTACCTCTGGTAGAATTCGGCTGTGAATCCATCTGGTCCTGGACTCTTTTTGGTTGGTAAGCTATTGATTATTTCCAGAATTTCAGAGCCTGTTAGTGGTCTATTCAGAGATTCAACTTCTTCCTGGTTTAGTCTTGGGAGGGTGTATGTGTCCAGGAATTTATCCATTTCTTCTAGATTTTCTAATTTATTTGCGTAGAGGTGTTTGTAGTATTCTCTGATGGTAGTTAGACCGCTAGCAAAACTAATAAGAAGAGAGAAGAATCAAATAGACGCAATAAAAAATAATAAAGGGGAGCTCTCTTTTTAACAAACTCTTCAACCTGTAACATTGAATATCTGTTGAGTGAGCCCATATCAATAAATTTAGCCAGAATAAAATTTATGATCCTTCCACCATTATTCCACACTATTAGTATCTGTTCCCACCCTTGTTTCCTAGATTTCTGTTGTATAAATCAGAGAACTCAAGCAGTTCTTTTGCGGTGGAGTGCACCTCCTCATGTGTCAAACTTTGTATCTCACCTTAGTGGTCTGCTGGGACTTGAGTCTATTTATGCTATAGAAGCAAAGAAGGTTGATGAAATGAATCCTAAGAAGAATTAGCATTGTCTTGCTCAGCAACTACCTCGGAAGAGGCCATTAGAGTTTCCTCAGGCAATGCAGATTTAATCACCTTGGGAAGGGAGATACCACTATGGGTGAGGAGGCTACCACCACTAGGGTGTGGGGAGGTCACTAAAACTGGAAAGCAAGACTCACAATGTAGGAGTTTAATATCTGCATCTTTGCCAGGATTTTCCCACACATCCCTATTCTAACTGACAGGATCTGATTCCCTCCAAACCAATGCCCTCTCTTTGATATTAGACATCTTTCAATGCTGAGAATTGAACTCTCCTTATAAGTCAGTCAATCAAATGATGAGAACTTTTCTTGATTTTCAGCAATTTCAGCTTTGTGGCTACAGGAGAGATTTTCCTTCAGGATGTATTTAGAAGCTCTTAAGCTATTTATGTAGAGCTAAAGCCAGGAATTCAAAACCCTGAGCTCATCCACTTCTTTCCTCCCTTTGTCTAGCAGTAACAAACCAATGTCTTTATATTCCTTATTTTTCCACAAATGTATGAAAGTATCATACATGAAGTTACCAAGTTCCTTGACTCTTAAAAGGAGTTGATTAGAAGTATGCAATGCAGATATTTTCCATATCTCTGTGAACAATTCATGACATGGATTGTCAGTGCTCTCTGTGCTATTGGAAGTAGAGTCCTTAGCATTTTTATGCCTCATTAGAGAGTCAATTCCACAAACCTCAAAATTAACTGGTTAAACTCATCCTTAAAATTCTGTTTCTCCAAGCAATAGGGAAAGGGCTATTTAATAAATGGTGCTGGGATAACTGGCTAACCATATGCAGAAGACTGAAACTGGACCTTTATCTTTCACCATATACAAGAATCAACTAAAGATGGGTTAAGGATTTAAATGTAAAACCTAAAACTATAAAAACCCTAGAAAAAAACCTAGAAAATACCATTCTGACATAGGCCCTGGTGAAGATTTCATGACAAGGATTCCAAAAACAATTGCAACAAAACCAAAATTGACAAGTGACACCTAATTAATCTAAAGAGCTTCTGTAGAGCAAAGAAAGTTATCAACAGAGTAACCCTACAGAACGGGAAAAAATATTTGCAAACTATGCATCTCACAAAAGCCTAATAACCAGAATTACAAGGAACTTAAACAAATTAACAAACAAAAAAATAACTCTATAAAAAATAGGCAAAACTTGTGAACAGACACGTCTCAGAAGAAGACATACACACAGTCAACAAACATGAAAAACTGCTCATCACTAACCATTAAAGAAATGCAAATCAAAACCACATTGAGGTTCCATCGCTCACCAATCAGAATTTCTATTATTAAAAAGTCAGAAAATAACATGATGGTGAGGCTGTGGAGAAAAGGGAATGTTTATACCCTGCTGCTGAGAATGTAAAGTAATTCAGTCATTGTGAAAAGCAGTTTGGAGATTTCTCAAATAATTTAAAACAGGAATTCCATTTGAGGTAGAAATCCCTTTACTGGGAATATACCCAAAGGGGTCATTCTACCATAAAAGGACATGCCAGCGTATGTTCATGGCAACATTTTTCACCATAGCAAAGACACGTATTCAATCTAGATGCCCATCAACAGTGGACTAATTCAAGAAAATGTGGTACATGTAGACCATGGAATACTACACAGCCATAAAAAAGAATCAAATCTTGTCATTTGTAGCAACATGCTTGGAGTTGGGGGCCATTGTCTCAAGGGAAATAAATTAGGAATAGAAAACCAAATGCTACCTGTTCTCACTTATAGGTGGAAGCTAAACATTGAGTATACATTCACACAAAGTAGAAAATAGACACTGGGGTGTACTGGAGGGAGAGGCTGGGAGGAGGGTAAGGATGGAAAAAGTACCCATCAGGTACTATGCTCATGACCAGGGTGATGAAGTAATCTGTACACCAACCCCTGTGACGTGAAATTTACCCATGTAAGAAACTTGCACATATACTCTCTGAACTTAAAGTAAAAGATGGAAAGAAAAAAATATATATGTTTCTCTACAGCCATTCTTAGCACACAAATCTGTATTAGTCAAGGTTTTTCAGAGAGACTTATCAATGGAATATATGTAAAGATAGGTACATGAGGAGAGCTTTATTAGGGGAATTGATTTACATAATTACAGAGGCTGAAAAGTCCCACAGTAGGCTGTCTGCAAGCTGGAGAACCAGGAAAACCAGGAACATGGCTCAGCCAAAGTCCAAAGGTTGCAGAATCAGGGAAGACAGAGGCCTGATAACCCAGAGCTGGGAGGGTGTCTCTGGTGTCAACCCCAGAGTCCAAAGGCTGGAGAACCAGGAGTTCTGATGTCCAGGGCCTGGAAAAAAGGATGCCCCCAAATCCAGGAGAGAAAGTGTAAATTTGCCTTTCCTCTGCCTTTTTGTTCTGTTCAGGCACCCAGCTGATTAGATGGTGCCCACTCACATCTACTTTAGATCTTTCCCACTCAGTCCACTGACTCACAGTCTTATCTACTTGGTAATACCCTCGCAGACATACTAAAAAATGATGCTTTATCAATTACCTAAGTATCCTTTAATCTGGTTAAATTAACATATACAATTAACCACCACAGCCTCATTCTATCAGTCCATGTTACTTGGCTGTATTGAGCCCTACTATTACAGAATAAAGCTATATAATTACAAACAACCATAGATGTATCTGTGTTATTTGGGCTTTTTTTTTTTTTTTTTTTTTTTGAGATGGTGTTTCGCCATGTTGCCTAGGGTGTCATTTGCTGTTAAAATGTGTTGTCTGTTCTTTTTGACTAATGCTCACCAAATACAGCATTTCAGATGATTCTTACACAGACTTACATAATTTGGGCATAATGATTTTATGATTTGTAAGATAATTTTTCAACCTTTATTTATTTTTTTTTTCTTTTCTTCTTTTTCTTTTTGAGAAAAGTTCTTGCTCTGTTGCTCAGGCTGGAGTGCAGTGGCACAACCTCTGTTCACTGAAGCCTCCACCCCCTGGGATAAAGCAATCCTCCCATCTCAACCTCCCAAGTAGCTGGGACTACAGGAGCATGCCATTACACCCGGCTATTTTTTGTATTCTTAGTAGAGATGGGGTTTTGCCATGTTGGCAAGACTGGTCTCAAACTCATGAACTCAAAGGATCTGCCCATCTAGGCCTCCCAAAGTGCTAGGACTACGGGTGTGAAGCATCACACCCAGCCTATTCACATTTGTATGCTGTTTATAATCATTACGTTTCCCAGCTTCCAGCTTCTGTTGTTATAAACCTTCTGTTTCCATGCCCTCTGTGTATTCTTTTTTTTTTTTAATCTTTCTGCTTCTTTAGCCAGTATATTAAGAAATCTGACATACTCTCAACATAGCATAGCTAATAATATGCATTTTATTTACTTTGTATTTGTTTTACAACATACAGTTACAATGATTATACAATTTCAAGAGACTGAGAATTTGAAGCCTGATTGGGAAATTTAGCATTTTCGACATATTATCAGATCGATTTATTGCTTACAAAGTTTAATTAATATCCATCACCCCTTGTTTTAGTAACAAATATGAGAGTAATAATTTTTGTTAAATTGCTGAAATATTCCAAGGACTCTTCTGAGGTTTAGAGATAGTGCATGGATATTGGCAACTTTTCATAGCAGCATTAAATCACACAATTTAAAGAGAATTGTAGAGATAGTAAATATCACATTTTCAACCAAAGCTGTAAATTGTATCTAAGTTCATAAACAAATTTCTGCATTTCTGCTTTTTGATGTCATACATTGTGTTTGATTCTATATATTTGTTTCTGTATATTATCAATAAAATGAATCTATCTTTGTGTTTTCCTCTTCTACAGATTAAATATTCTCACATCAACTTACCTACCTTGTGTTTGATTTTTTTCCATACACCTGACCATCTGTGTATTACCTTTTTGACATAACTTTGCTTATCTCTATCTTTTGAAATATATTGACAATGAATTAACATAGTATTTTTATTTTATTTCCCCAGTGTGAATTCAGAGATTGTTACTTCATTTAATTACTATTTTTAAAGTCTATGACATCTCATGTATTAAACACCCATGAAAATGATGTGTTTACTAGTTTTTATTTATCAAGCCAAATTGAAAAATATGTTTACATAGTAATAGCAAAACATGTTATACATTTACTGCCTTAACACAAGACTCTATCTACTAATATCCTTTTGTTTGTTTATTTTATATAGATACATGTTAATTCTTGAATTTGGAGGCTTTCATATTTTTCCAACTTGTTTGCTTACGTTTTCAGTTCTGTGACATTTTGATTTTGTAAACTAGTCTCTATTTGGCTTCACTTAATCACTGATAAGGGTATTGACCAAACTACTAAAACCTGACGACATATATTTCAAACTGCTCTCATTAATTTTAAAGAATAAATAAATTACTCGAAAACCGTGGAACAAGACAAAACATTTATATCTGTATATTTTTGGAATGTGGTAACATTAAACATTCAAGCAAAAGCAAACACTAGGAAACTTACAAGATCATAAATAAAAGAGATAGTACAGTAAAGAGACAAAAAGAAATCCTTATTAAGTTCATAAGAAAGTATTAAGCAAACACTGTCAGATTCCAAAGAAGGAAGAGAATTAGAAAATCAGATCCAATATAATAATTAGGAGTTTTAAAATACTTTTACAAGTTAAATTTATTTTAGGTTAAATAAAATTTTAAAATACACTCCAAACCTTTTTATATAAATGCATTGAACTACTTTTAGGATTCAAATGGTCCGTTTTAGGCCAACTCAGTTTGGCTGCAAGAAAATATGATTGTTTTTATGAAATTCACCTGAATGACCTCTTTATGATAGTCTATAATGTATGCTGTGTCCACATCTCAGATGATGAGAACGTCACCACTTCTATCTGGTATAATTTCAGCAGCAAAGGCAAAGACCATGAAAATTTTTCCTTCAGATACTCCAGATAAGTATGGCTGTCTCTTTAGGAAGGCCTGGTTCTCGTTCAGTTTCCTCTGCATGTCTACTATGCCAACTCCCTATCTCCCTATTAATAATGCTTAGCTGTAATATTAATATTGACTTCAATTTACTTTTATTTTATTCTAACTAATAACAGTTTCTGTATACAGAAAATTGATGAAAGTATTTAAAGAAAGTGTCAGATTTATTCAGTGACCATTAATCTACCTCTTTTGAAAGTATACACTGATTAAACTCTGTAACACCTAAATGTGTCTGCCTGTGGCTTGTGGTTTGTGTGTATGTGTTAATCTAGAAGAGAGAAAGGAAGAATAGGGTGGCTCAGCTCACTCGGGCTACAATAATAAAATACCTTAGGCTGGGTAATTTATAAGTAACAGAAATTTATTGCTCACAGTTTTGAAGGCTGGGGAATTCCAGGATCAAAGAACCAGCAGATTTGGTGGTTGACGTCTTGTTCTCTGTTTCAAAGGTGGTGTCTCTTTGCTGTTTCCTGACATAGCAGAAGGGGCAAACAGCTCTCTCACACTACTTTTGTAAGGTCACTAATTCCACTCATGAGGGCTTCATCCTCATGATAAAATCACATCCTAAAGACGCTATCACATTGGTGATCAAGTTTCAACGTATAAATTTTGAGGGGAACATTCAGGCCTTAGCAGAGGGGCTAAAAAACCTTGTGAGTAATAAATGAGAATGGAAAAAGAGCTGTAATTGATGCATTCTGATAGGACAGTAGCTTTTCTAATAGCTTATTTCTGTACGAATTAACATGAATACTTTAATGAATATAGGTTTGTATGGAAGGGGAGAGACATAAAAGGTGGATAAATCAGTGTCTGTTAACACTATAGTCTTAAAATTTGATTTAGGCAACCCTCCAAGTAAAAATTTGACCACCTAAAAAGGGAATTATATTTTAATTCAAAATATTTCTATTGTATGTGATATTTAACCATCTGTTACAGATAATAAATGAGGAAAATACAAACAATGGATAATCAAAAATATTGTATATAGATAGTATCATGTGGCATTGTGGCTTTGGTTTCTAAACACTTAATCCTTTTCTTCTTGTAGTCAAGGTAAAATTAAAATAAGCCCCTAACTATGAGAACTCAGTGAAGATTTAGAATGATTATAAAGTAAAGGCCCCTTGGTCTTTTATCATTTTGGGTAATTTGCTTTATCCCTAACTGCATACAAATATTTGAGTATTGGCAGAATGTGTTTAATGAGAAAATATTCTAACAAAAATTGTAGGCATGAACTAGACTTTGAAAGTAACTAAAATATGCTCTTTAGCTCAGATTTTTAGGCAAAAAAATCACAGAAATGAAGGGATCCTTTTCCTGCTAATTACATTCGCTAAAGCCTTCTTTACTTCCTTATTCCTGAGGCTGTAGATCAGAGGATTCAATATGGGGATCACCACTGTGTAGAACACAGAAACCACTTTGTCCTGATCAGGGAGTAGCTGGAACTAGGTCTCAGGTAGGTATAGATGGAGGTGGTGTAGAAGAGGATTATGGCTGTCAGGTGAGAGGCACACGTGGAGAAAGCTCTGTGCCTCCCCTCCCCTGAATGCATAGAAAAAATGGAGAAGAGAACGTAGGAATAGGAGGAGAGGATGACAAGCAGAGCCCCGACCTTATTCACACCAGCAAAAGTGGAAAATATGCTTTCCTTCAAGTGTGTGTCAGAACAAGAAAGCTTAAAAAGTGGGGGACTGTTGCAGAAGAAGTGATGGATGACATTGGAGCCACAGAATGACAAGCTGCTGACATAGCTAGTGTTGACCATGGAGTTCAGCAACCCTGCAGCAAAAGCCCCGGCTGCCATTTTTAGGCAGACTGTCCTGGACATGATCAAGGAGTAAAGCAGCGGGCGACATATGGTCACATACCGGTCATAGGCCATTAACCCAAAGAGGATGCATTCGGTTGTCGCCAGGGCGATAAAGAAGTACATCTGTAGGAAGCAGCCAGCAAAAGAGATGGTTTTCTTCTCTGATAATAAATCTGCCAGCATCTTTGGGGTGATGGTGGTTGAGTAACAAATGTCCACAAAGGACAGGTTAACCAGGAAGAAATACATGGGTGTGTGAAGCCGGGAATCGATCCTGATTAAGAGGATCATCCCGATATTTCCCAGTACGGTAAGTGTGTAAATCACAAGAAATAACAGAAAGAGGATAATCTGTAGCTCCAGCGTGTCTGCTAATCCCAATAGGATGAACTCAGTCAGTGAGGTATAATTTTTTCTGGTCATTTGTGACAAATATATTTTGTGCGAACTTTATATGAGATGAAAATGTTTCTCCCTTTGAAAGTTTATAGAAAAAAATAGAAATGTTAATAAGGATATTCACATATGGAAAAACCTAGGATAATATGGCATAGTAATTAAAGTGACTGAAGGATGATTAGAAGACAAATGGATGAGCATGTGAATTTAATAAACAATGGTCTCTATTGAATTTGGGTTGTAGGTCTCTCAAATTTCTGATCTAAGTCTACATACTTCAGTTTCTGTAAATGTGCATACATTGTACTATTTTTTCTATACCAAACCCCATTCAAATCCCAAAGACTGACACATTAATGCTAAAATCACTCCTATTTTCTTTGCAGGTATGTGAGTTTAACTAAAATACATGTTTTTTCTTGCCTTTAAAACAGCTCTATACATTTAACTCCAAAATTTATACATTGCCACCTGCTGCAATAATAGTAATCATTTCAAATAACACACATTTTGACATCTATTATATCCTAAAGAAATAATGATATTTAATGTTTTAAAGTAATCCAAACAGTTATTTTAGTTACAAAGTACATTATCAAATTAATGCTATGTAGCAGAAAATGTACCTGTCCACTGAAGTGAATAACAGCAAAAAATCTTTATAACTTCTGTCCCATGCAGAGTTTTACCAAAGTAGTCTATTATTTTCTTTTTAAACTGGGATTCTCACTTGCAGGTTAAAAAATATAAAAAAGAAACTTTATTTTTAAAAAGCAGTGTAAAGTTGAACTATGCACTGGAAAAATTTTAAGATTGAACCTTCTGATTAAATACATGAAGCTGCATTTTTATTTTGTTTTCCTTCAAGCAGATTGGGTGATCTTGGCGACTAGATAGTAAGTATTAACTGAGGAGTCAATTCTCTAAAGGCAGGAACTTAAGTCTCAAAAGAAAGTTAAACCCAGGCTGGGGGTTGTGGCTCACACCTGTAATCCTAACCTTTTGGGAGGCCAAGGTAGGCGGATCAGTTGATGTTAGGGGTTTGAGACCAGCCTGGCCAACATGGCAAAACCCTGTCTCTATTAAAAATACAAAAAAATTAGTCGTGCCTGGTGGCGGCGCATGCCTGCAATCCCAGCTACTCGGGAGGCTGAGGCACCGGAATCGCTTCAACCCCCGAGGAAGAGGTTTCAGTGAGCCATGATCACGCCGCTGCACTCCAGCCTGGATGACAGAGTGAGATTATTTAGCGCTTGTATCATAAGGTGATTTCTGACGTCTATGTAATTTTAAAGTCCCATTTAAAGTCAGTGAAAATGTTATGTATTGACCATTTACATTGTTTCTTTCTCTGTAGTTTTAGCTTATTCCAATTGGATGCATAGCGTAACACCAAATTATTATTCTTCCCTATCAAAATGCAAAATTACACAAATGATTTTAAATATAGAATCGGTGTTTATTTGCAACTCTAGAATTGGGTAACATCACTTCTATAAAATAGGATAAGAGATCCATTGAGCTGAGCAGAGGAGCTTGGCTTTACAGGCAGAAAAGGATTGGAGAAAGCAGAAATAGGGGGAAAAAAAGTAGCTTGGGGCTGGGCGCGGTGGCTCGTGCATGTAATCCTAGCACTTTGGGAGGCAGAGGTGGGAGGATCACAAGGTCCGGAGTTTGAGACCAGCCTGACCAACATAGTGAAAACCCATGTCTACTAAAAAACAAAAAATTAGCTTGGCGTGGTGACGGGCGCCTGTAATCCCAGCTGCTTGGGCGACTGAAGCAGGAGAATCACTTGAACCCGAGAGGCCAAGTTTGCAGCGAGCCGAGATCGTGCCACTGCACTCCAGCCTGGGAGACAGAGCAAGACTCTGTCTCAAAAAAAAAAAAAAAAAAAAAAGCTTGGTTATTTCAAAGCTACTTTTAGGGTTCACGTTCCGTTTTAGGCCGACTCAGTTTGGCTGAAATCTCCTGTGTATTTGGAAAACAGGATTGTTTCAAGTTTAGTTTGATTACCTGGCATTTAGGAGACCAGTTCAAAAAAATGGCCTCCGATAAATTTTGTTTAACATCCCGTATCCCTTTTGTCACTCTCTCTCTCTCTCCCTCTCTCCGTGTGTGTGTGTGTGCATTCCTTTGTCTGTATGTTTAACTTCCAATCTAGCTCTATTTCTCATTATAAGTAACAAGAAAGGGAAACTTGCTAATATCCATTCTACAATGTTTAAAGAAATACTCTATCCTAAGCAAATAGGATAATGAATAAGAAAACCTAATTTCTTTTTAAAATTTTAAAGTTGTGTGGTCTTTTTGAAATTATTATTTGTGATTCTGATTCTACAAGGGGATGAAAGTTCATATTTTCTAGATCTCAATTCTCAAGATAGTAAAATAAACCACACTTGGGGTCCATATGAAAGCGAGTCTACTCATATAGGGAATTCATAATACATTAAGCATTATAGGATAGTTTTATATTTAAATTCTCAATAAATGTTCTACATCACTTGTTGGGGTTGTCATGATTATTTCCCCCATATTTTAGATGAGGAAAGGTGGTACTGTTTACACAAAAGTCTATTCAAAGTCTCTTCAGTTATAAGATGGAACACTGTAAAATCTTGAAACTGTTACTTTGATATTTAAGGCTTATTTTCTACATATACTTAGTAGATTTTAACCATCACTTCTGAGGGACCTTTGCATAATGATTGATCTCCTTTACAAAAGTAGTTAATTAAAAATCTTCAAATAGTTTAAATGGGAGGTGTACATTTATATTTTATGAATTTTTTATTTTGAATGCTTCAAATTAATGGAAAGTAATAAAACAAATCATACATATATTTAATAAACTATACTTATAAGTAGAACTAAACTTAAGAACTTTCAAATAATATAATACTAATAACTTAGATTTCAAATTTAAATTTCAAGTTTAAATCAAATTATATATATGGAGAGGGGGCAGCAAGACTCTTTATATTATAAAACAAATTATACTAAATAACACATATACGAATAACGCCAGATATACACAAATTCCTTGTTAACACACATAAATGTAGTAATCTGATTATAATTTTCTAATAACTTTTGACAACTAATTTTACATCTTACCATAGATTAAAGAATTTGCCCACAAATAATAACATTGCCATCTCAATTAGATAACATGACTTCCAAACCCAAAAACTTAAAAAATGATTTGTCTTATTCTTCTTTGACTCATATCTGGATTATCACATATATAATCATATATATATCTTTTATATTTATATAAAATGAATGACCTTTTATAAAGGAAGTCTTGAATGAATCAAACATTCAGTTTATTTTTAAGACATATAAGTGTTTAATGTTTGAACCTGATGGAACAGTAATATATGTAAAATGTATTTTCTAACAGATGATAAAGCTTGTGTGACTAGTGGGAATCTTAAAACAGGTAAATGAATTTTCCATTAAACTATAAAGGCTTTGAATTAATGAAGGCCTATATTATTTTATATTCTCAGAATTATTCAACTTTTATAAATATCTACAATAACTGTAAGCAGGAAGAATTTCTTATTATTGCAAAAATCATTGCAGAATTGACTAGAAAACCAGTAACTTTTATTCTACCCACATCATTATCCACCAGAGGTTTGAATCTTCCTGAGTTTCAAGGATTCAGATTCTGGGAAACCAAAAATTATCAGCACTCTCCCAAACCCCAACCCATATTCATACTTTGGCATCTGAGTTTATAATATTCATCATCCATTTAGGCCACACGCAAGTACTGACTCCATAAACAAATTAAGCAATGGAGACAAGGTTGTCTTCTGGAATGCAAACCCACCATATACCCAGCAGTTTGTCCATATCACTATGTAGCAATGAGGATGTAAGGGTTATATGTCTCCTCTATCAAAAACGTCTGGTTTATAAACTTTCTCCAAATTCTAATCCTTAATCCAAACTATGTGGTATGGTGCTTGCCTTTAACTCCTTCACCATAATAATTAATTGAAGAGTCATGACCTCTGTGATTTTTGTCAGACTTAGGGAAACATCTTAAGGGGTCATTTTATTAATGGGGGTACAATGTTCATAGGCACAGGAAATACTATTTTACTACTGATGTCTCCTTTAATTATAATACAGGGAATATAAACAATAACAATAACAACAAAAAAAACCATGGGCTACTACAGTGATAAAAAATGTAAAATGTCCAGAAAGGTCTAGACTAACTCGGAAAATTGCCTTGATAATAACTAATGTTCTTGGTATTTCTGTTATAATGCATTAAGTTGCATTATACAAATGTAAAAATTTTAAAGGCTAAAATGTTCAGCTTTTTAGGATTATTTTTCCAAGAGGAAGGGACTATATCTTTGGGTAGAGATGCCATAAAGTTTGAGATCCCTGCATCTGTACTGTATCTTTATCACTGAATTTTCTCTTCAATGTCATTGGTAACCCAGTTTTAGCTAAATCCAATGGACTTGTTTTATTATTTTAACATAATAATATCTCTGAAGATTTACATATTTACACCCTTCTTTCTATGTATTTATGCCTTTATTTATATTTGTTTCCTTCTAATTATCTCATAAAGTAATATAGACATTGACTTTCAGGGAAGGTGCATAAGAGATTAGTGTTTTGACAATTGTAGTCTCTTGACTGGGTATAAATTGTATACTGATCAAGAGAACATTGCAGTTTATAAGATGTAGAGTAAGTTCTAGATTTTCACGGGTCACTCAACGACAAGCAAGAAGAAGGAGAAGGAGAAGAAGGACAAGGAAGAAGAAGAAGAATAGGAAGAAGAAGAAGAATAGGAAAAAGAAGAAGGAAGAAGAAGAAGAAAAGAAGAGGAAGAAGAAGGAGAAGAAGAAGAAGAAAAAGAAGAAGAAGAACAAGGAGGAGGAGGAGGAAGAGCAGGAGGAGGAGGAAGAGCAGGAGGAGGAGGGAGGAGGAGAACGAGGAGGAGAAGAAATGTAGAAAAAGAAGTTTGAATGGATACTTTTCAAATAAAGTAAATATCTTTGTTAGTCACTGAGTTACATGATAAAGATGACATTATTTTGTTGACTTGTATTTTCACATCTTGATTTTATTATATAAGATTATTGTGCTTTCTATAGCTAAAATTAAACAAAACAAAACAAAACCTCAATGTCGAAGAATGAGTGAAGCCCTTAATTACAAAAACCTATTGAATTATATTCACAGGATATAATAAAATATATAATTTTCAGTTATTACATCTTTCTCTTCTTTACCTTTCTAATAAACTATTTTAGAGCATACATATTTGCAATTATTGACTAGGTTAATTAAATAGTTTCTGCCACAGGCATTCAATAAATATTTTTGAATAAAGTGATGAATAAAAGAATTAATAGATTTAACTCATTTTTAATGTTTAAAAATATTATTGAAGTCAGTTTTATAAATGATTAAATTCATTTTTCATTACTTCTTAGAATGGAAGCATGTCTGTAGAAGTCATTTATATAAGGATGACTTCAGGATCCTAATATTTTACTCTAATAAGTTTCATTGTGTTACTAAGACAAATGCATATAATAAATTGCAATGAAGAATGAAGAAAAATTGGTCTTATAGTCATTTTGTTGTTGAAATATACATGTGGGTCTTTTAATGGAGAACAATAAAAATATGTGATTTATTAAATAATTGGAATATCTATTGATTTCCCTTGAGACTGAATAAAATTAACATAGTTAAAAAACATTCTAATGCTAAACTCTATATTTTCCCTAATGCGAAATGGAATAATTCATAATTTCCAAAGGGATTTGTTACAGTAAAGTAAAAAGAGTTCTAGAGGAGTCTTAATTTCTTTACCATATGTTTAGTTTTCTCTCAGGATAATCATTGTTTATGATATTTATCCTTTTAATAATAATTACTCTATATATTCTTGGAATTTAAGCTATAATGCCTCAAATATTATGAATAATGAGGTTTATTGGACATTCCCTTTGAATGGTTAATCTGTCTCAAAAGGTGGCAGAATTAACACTGTAAATTTCCAGACAAAAAGTTGAAATGACAATGCTTTCAAAAATAGTGGATAACCTTTAATGTTATGGCCTTCTTGTGCATCCAATTTAATGGCTAAAATGTTATTATTTTAGTTGCTTGAACTTTTGTTTTAAATAATTTGTGATTACAAATGGGATTTTTCTGTCTTTCTTTATGTCTATAGTGGTTCAGGGCAAGCTAGGTAAGATGCATTGAAAGGCTTAGTCACAACTTCAATTAGAATTTATGAATGAATGTACATTTTATGATAAAGGCTGATAAACAGAAGTTAAAAGGTATTCACTTTAAAATTTTCTAAATGACAACACTGTCCAATATCTCCAATTCTAGTTTACAAGGTAATAATTTATTGGAGGCTGTATTAGGTGAGGAAAAACAAAACAAAATATAAACAAAACTTTAAAAAATGTATAAGAAGGCCGGGTGCAGTGGCTCACGCCTGTAATCCCAACACTTTGGGAGGCTGAGGTGGGCGGATCACAAAGTTAGGAGATCGAGACCATCCTGGCTAACATGGTGAAACCCTGTCTCTACTAAAAATACAAAAAATTAGCTGGGCGTGGCGGCGTGCGCCTGTAGTCCCAGCTGCTGGGGAGGCTGAGGCAGGAGAATGGCATGAACCCGTGAGGCAGAGCTTGCAGTGAGCCGAGATCATGCCACTGCACTCCAGCCTGGGCGACAGAGCAAGACTGTCTCAAAAAAAAAAAAAAAAAAGTATAAGAAATATACTCATGCAAGGGGATAAAATGACACATTAGATGAATTAATAAAAAACTTTGGGTTGTTGAATATAGGATCAGTATCTGGAGTTTAGTTGTATTTCCTTGCCATAGCAGAAATTATTTAACGTTAATTTTTAAAGGAAAACTTTTATAATATACAAGGACCTTAGGAAAATATAATTAACAACAGATACGCTAAACCTTTATGGAAACAATTATAAAATATTTTTAAAAGATCATCAATAATGTAAATAATCAGTGACTCCATGTTTATGAGGATGATTCTTATAAAGATATACTTTTTACAATATTGGTTTATAAATACAACATAATTCCAAATAATATTTCAATAATATTCTCAATTAATGTGACAAGCTGGTTATAATTTTTTTAGTAATAACCCAGAACAAAAAGGGCCAAGACATTCCTGAAGAAGTACCAAGTAAGCCTGTATCAATGCTATAATAGGAAAGTGTAGCAATGATGAAAATGGAACATTGACAAGTGATCACAATAGAGAACCCAGAACCAGACCTACACAAAAATGAAAATTTAATATATCATAGAGCACCATTGAAGATAGAGAACTTACATTTTTTAAAAAACTGCAAAAAATATACTGTCTAAGATTCCTACCTCATATAATACACAACAAATTATTCCAGGTGTGTTAAAGATTAAAAATATCTATCACCCCTATTATATTGGCAGAAAATATTAATTTCAGAGTATAAAAAGCATTAGCAAATACAAGTTATCTGAGGTGTTATGTTCTGTTGTTGAGATTGTAGATATGAACAAGCAATGATAGACTGGATTAAGAAAATGTGGCACATATACACCATGAAATACTATGAAGCCATAAAAAAGGATAAGTTCATGTCCTTTGTAGGGACATGGATGAAGCTGGAAACCATCATTCTCAGCAAACTATCACAAGGACAAAAAACCTGACACCGCATGTTCTCACTCATAGGTGGGAATTGAACAATGAGAACACTTGGACAAAGGAAGGGGAACATCACACACTGAGGCCTGTCGTGGAGTGGGGGCAGTGGGGAGGGATAGCATTAGGAGATATACCTAATGTAAATGACAAGTTAATGGGTGCAGCATACCAATAAGTCACATGTGTACATATGTAACAAACCTGCACATTGTTCACAAGTACCCTAAAACTTAAAGTACAATAATAAAAACAAATAAAAAAATGTTGCAATGACGTATATTTTATTTACATATTAAAATGGTACTAAGAGAAGAAAAAAAAACAAAAAAAGAAATTTAGAAAATAATTTGCTATATTTTAAAGTTGTATACCCTATATGTATACCCTATATGCAATCAATGCAGACTCTTGTACATGTGTGCTTAGAGAAGAGTAAAATAACATTAATAGTAGCATTGGTCATAAAATTAGGTAATAGGCAATTTAATTATGATACAGCAAAGAAAAATAATACAACAAATTATGAAATTACAGTGAAGAAATACGTATGCACATGGGAGAATGTGAGAAACACAATATTAAAGAAAAACATAAGCTCTGTAGATGACAAACGTGATATCACATTTACAATGTTCAAAAATTTTAAAAAGGAGATTTATTAAAATAATCGTTTTAGGAATATAGATGAAATTATTTTCAAAATTGAAATCTAGGGGCCAGGCGTGGTGACTCACGCCTGTAATCCCAGCACTTTGGGAGGACAAGGTGGGTGGATCACAAGGTCAGGAGACTGAGACCATCCTGGCTAACATGGTGAAACCCTCCCTCTATTAAAAATACAAAAAAATTAGTTGGGCCTGGTGGCACACGCCTGTAGTCCCAGCTACTCGGAAGGCTAAGGCAGGAGAATCGCTTGAACCCAGGAGGCAGACGTTTCAGTGAGCCAAGATCATGCCACTGCACTCCAGCCTGGGTGACAGACCAAGACTCCACCTCAAAAAAAAAAAAAAAATTGAAATATAGGGAATAATGCAGAAAAGTAGCTGCCACTGTCAGGGAAGCAAGATAATGAAGATGATCATAGAGAATTTCCAATTTTGGCAATATTCAAGATTTTTTGTTTTTTAATTAATTTCTGTGGTGAGTTTATAAGTATTTCTTTTGCTTTCTGATTTATATAGACATTTTTGGATTTAACTAAATGTTTACCTAATATTTTACAATAAAATATTTTATAACTGTCATATATTTTTATATATTTTACCTAATATAAAATAAAGATGGTTGAAATCTTGTTAAAAAATACACTTGAGGACATTAGAACTTAGTACTTGTATCAGAGATCCCAAAGACTATCACCAGTTTCAATGATTCACTAGAAGAACTCACAGAACTCAGAAAAGCTATTATGCTTATGGTTATGGTTTATTACCACTAAAGATTGGAGGACAGTTTTCCAGGTAGCCTTTGAGTAGTCCAGTTGTCCCTCCTCCCTCACGTGTAATTCTCAAAAATAACTGTAGAACCTACTGGAAATATAACATTCTGAGATAGGCGAGGCAGCTGGAACAGAGCACATGTTGTTCTGGCCAATGCCTCCTTCACTTTAGAAACAGACTGTCCTTCAAGGCTTTGGCCCCAGCAATTCTTCTAACCCTAGGGTACAAAACCAGGATAGGCTGCTTTCTGGGTTCCCTCAGCTGCAGTGCAAGTGAGGCATATGCAGATGAAACCCCATTCAGTCTGGGCCTCTTTCCTGAACTTTGGAAGCCCAGCTTTCAAAAAGTCCTGGGCTTCTGTTGTCCTTTGCTGCCTGCTTCATGCAACTTGTGTGTATGGGTGTTCTGTCTCACTGGGCCCAGACAAGTTGATAACCAGTACACAGTGAACCTGTTTCACAAAGATATGGATTAAATTGTAAAAGGAAAAGAGTGTATAGGTCAGTTTCCAGGAGAACCAAGTACGAGCTTCCACTTGTCCTCTTAAGTGGAATCACACAGGCAATACTTAATTCTCCCAGGAGTATTGTCTGATAACAAGTATGGGATATTGCCAATCACAGAAGCTTACCAAATAATTGTTTCCAGGGTTTGATTGAGGGTCAGTCACATGGGCATGGAGAACCCACTTACCTGATCTTAGATACGTAGTCTTCAAATGGCCCATATGAATACAGCATAACCTAGAAGCCCCAGGTACGCAAAAACAGGCAAGCAGAATAAATCATACCATGAGTGTAAACTGAGCCAAAGTATATAAAGATGCCCTTATCGGACAGGATATTCGAAGACAGGATATTTCAGAGGTTGTCAGGGCCAGTTCTGAAGACCCCAGATAGTTGAGTTTATCCTTTACTGCACAATACTAACATTTAAAAATATATAGATGGCTAAGTTTCTAATGTAATTACATTTGGCTCTTTTATTTTGCCAGTACAGAAGAAAAATGAGTCTTCAAAAATATGAGTTAATTATTCTTTATTAATTTGATCAACTATCTATTTCTATTTAAAACTATCATTCCAGATGTGGTCTTCTTACCGTACAGCCCATGGTACCCTCCTTGTAGCTTTTAATCTGTATAGTATTTCCTCCCCCTCCCTAACCCACAAAAGGAAAGCAAACTTCCTCAGTCATTTTACTTGTTCTTAGCAGGAGAAACACAAAATGTCAATATTAGTCTCTAAATTTGTACATTTCAGCCTCTGAAGAAAAAAGTCAATTTGCCTTTCATTATCCCATTAAAGGACACAGTTATCCACCATATTGAAGACAAAACATAATATGGAAAACTGGAAATATCAGCAATTTAGAATCCTTGTTTCTGTAGGTCCAGGCATCTGGGGGCTTTCTGTGATTCCTTACATGGAAGCATCTTTTTCTAAACCTTATATTTCCTACCACATAAAGGACACAACCCATGAATAAGCTGCTTTCAATTTTCGAGATTACATTCATCTTCTATATGAATGAGTGCATTTTTGAACCATTTACTGGATGCTCTCAAAGGTTGACAACTTTGTTTAAACCTTCTCTTTCTAACATAGGTCCACCTATTAAATAGAAAGCCCTTCTGGAAGCCACAAAACTGATTTCAATTTTCCTACCAGGTATAGAAGAGAAGCCAGGTGGGATCCTGTATTTATCCACTCCCTAGTCTGTCAATCTTAAGAATCATAAGGTATAGACTATGCCATCATCAATCATTTAAAGAACATTACAATCTAGAGCAGTGTTATAAAGTATTAAAAAATACTGTTGCAAACAGTGCTATAATTGTTAGAGAAAACGTAGAGTCATGGAACAAGTACCATCTGTTGAACAAGTGGCCTTGAGTCATCTCAATCTTGACAAGAATTTGATGTGTGCAATTATTATTCACAATTTAAAAATTAGTAAACATTAGTTTAAATGAGTAGTTCAAGGTCCCATAGCCATGAAATGGCACAACTGCTCTAGGTTGCCTGAATCACCAGTGTTTACTCTAGTAGCTTAACATTCAAGGCATACTTCTTTCTAGACACTCCAACAATGGAAAAGCAACCAAACATTAGAGTGCCTGAGATTCTTCTCAATATATTGAGCTTGTACTTTAGAATTCGATAATATGACTAAATACTTCAAAGTATCATTAAGTAACTGAATTCATAATGAGAACTGATAGAAATAAGAATTTACAGAAGAATTTTTTTTTGGCTGGTAGAATTAAAAGACTGTTGTTTTAATCAAACCTCTCTCAATGATGAAGACAGGTTATGTTATTACTGGTTACAGTATAGCCAATTGTGTTATTATCCTTTACCTTTTTTCATTTAAGAGAAATCAGCTAAGCCACATACCTATACCACTAGGATGAGAACAATTAACTATCAGACACCCTACTGGGATTGGAAATTATCTTGGGACACTGTCTCACTTGTCACAGACTAGAATATATATACTCATCCCTTATAAGAATTATTTCTAAAACCTAGAGAAAAATGTTGATAGCCCATTGTGCAAAATAAGTGATAAAATTCAAAGTTCTTGATGGTGCTGAGGTAAGTGATTTTTTCCCTAAAGCATTAACAAAATGTTTGTTGTGAATGTAGCAAAGACCATGAATTTGCCTCAGATAAAATGTATCTCTGCTATTTCTGTGTGTGTGTGTGTGTGTGTGGTGTGTTTCAGTTTGTGTATGTATGTGGGCTAAGAGTGGGCAGAAGACGGTGGTAGCATAGACCTAAGCTTACCTTATCCATGGCAATTAGAAAAAAAAATGTCACGCCCAATTCGTTGTGTACCTTATTGCCATGAGAAGGAAGCTGACTATGCCTATTAAGAATTTTTGGAAAAACAATGGTGTAATAATTTTCTGTAGCAGCATGCTAAACCTCAGATTTTATAAGCACAAATCACATATTCACCTGCAGTGTGGTTAATTGTTTGTGTTTGTTCATATAAAAACAAACTAGGAGAATTTGTCATTTCAAAGTCAGATATTGAATTGTTAAATAATCATAATAGCATTAATAGTAATAATTATAATATATAATAACATACATTTTGATGCATCTACAGCATACCAACCTCTGTAAAGCTACCTAGTTCAATCTTGATTTCAGTCTTATAATATATTATTATGCTAATTAAATATAACAAATAATTTAGGCATAGAGAAGTTCAATGAGTTCTAGAAAATTATATTTGGACCTGAGGTTATTTATACTCATTTGCCTAACTTCAAATCCTGTGTGCTTAAGCTCAGCACAATGCCATTTGTAAAGAAAAGATTGAGTGAAATCAGTACTAATATTTCTGCTATCTGCGTATCTCCTTCAAAGAGAATAGCAAATAAAGTTTATTAATAGACATCTTTTAGAAATAGGAGGTTTGTCAAATGAGATTTCCCTAAGATCCAGTGGGGTCCAACTCATTTTGGGAGATTTTTCTGATTTCAGTTCAGAGCAGCGTGAGATAAATCCTGTAGGAAAAGGAAAGTTGTCTTGAGATGCTCAGTCTCTCACTGGACAATTGACTACAAAACCCCTTTAAATCGTTTTGTAGTTGTCATGGGACTCAAGAAAGAAAAATAAGACTTTGATCCCATAACTTGTTTTTGGATATAATATATAAACTCATTAAAATCATTAATGGAAATGTCACTTGTTTGGATGAGCCTGTGTATTCGATTTAGCCATCCCATCGGAAATGTTAGTGTGGAAATTTGCTAGGGTTGGCCAGGAATAATAGAGAAAATATACATCCAGTTGTGAGGATTTGAATATTATATAAAGCTTGCAAATGTGTACATTTTTCTAGTATTTTTTCAGAGTTGGGATTTCTTCACTATAGTTTTAGGTACACACATTGCATTCTTACCCTGTCAAGTTATTTGCTCTTCTAAAAAATCTGAGTTCACAAAGAAGGCTGGCTTCTCTTTTCGGTACATTTAGAAGATTCCTTGCCATTTGGCTGGAGAAAGGAGGTTCTGAGGTTATCAGGCATGATAGAGACAATAGATCTCATAATTTCCCTTAGTTACTCACTACGTTACTCACCATAGACACTTCTCACTTCCAAATGATCTAGCTTCCTGCTTAATATTCCATTCGCATTGTATTTTATTTAAAATCATCTCAGCTTTTCTTGTTCTTGATTATTTTTTCATTTTTCCATACAATGTTTGTCCTTACAGAACCAGTTTAGAAGTCCAATCGCATATGCAGCCCTTCAAAACATACTAATGTTTCTGGAACCTCACACCAAACAGTGCTTACTTCAGAGATTAGAAAGTAAACTAAATCTTGAAAAAGAAAGCAACAATGATAGGGCATGAGTAAAAGATTTAGTATGCCAAACAATACATTTGTATATAGCACACACACACACACACACACGACTTATTTTTACAACAGAAAACAAATAATGCATCTATGATGTCAAAGACAAGATGAATATTGAGAATGATCTGGATATTTCATGGTGTTCAGACAAAAAAAACCCCAAAACAATCAAAATGGAGTCAATTTATTTATTTTTAATAAATTTTATTTAATCAGCGCTCACACAGTGACTTGTATGTGTAGTCACATAAGTGATGTAGGGATGTCTACTTACTAGGAATATTTATTTATTCATCTTAACTATCACAGAAAGTCAAATAACTATACCAAAGTCACACAAACAGTAAATAGCAAAGCCAAGTTGTAAATCCAGCCATCTCTTCCATAATTACCATGCTCTTAACTACCACGTTAAGTAACCTCCCAACATCACAGATATTCTTCTGTGTGATTACACAGTTTTAAATATGGACATTCTTTCATATTTTATCTCAACTCTCCTTTATGTAGAAGAATGTGATTTTAGGGTTGCAAAAAGAGAGCTTTGCCTCTAAAGATTTTGCCAACTCTCATTATTCTACTAGGTCTCATTACATGAGCTACATTTATCCCTTTCAGCTTGTAAAAACTATTATCATCACATAAAGTGCAGCGCGTTTAAAGAGGTACTATATTATAAAACACCACCATCTAAATAACATTTTCTGCTATCAATGGTGATCTTTAATTATTATACTTCCTTTAATCAAATGACAAAATCAAAATCAAAATTTACAAAAAATGACATCTCTGTGATTTTACTGACCTTCTATTTGATTCCTTAGAAGAGAGAATAAAGATACTTTTGGTTCATCCATAACTCAAGTTAACTCACATCTGCTGATACTACCTAGGTCCAGTGGGAAAAACAAGAAAACTAAGATGTTGGAGAGTAATTACACCATGCCAACTGAGTTCCTATTTGTTGGATTCACAGATTATCTACCTCTCAGAGTCACACTGTTCTTGGTATTCCTTCTGGTATATACATTAACTATGGTCGGAAATATACTCTTAATAATTCTAGTTAATATTAATTCAAGCCTTCAAATTCCCATGTATTATTTTCTTAGCAACTTATCTTTCTTAGACATCAGCTGTTCTACAGCAATCACTCCTAAAATGCTGGCAAACTTCTTGGCATCCAGGAAAAGCATCTCTCCTTATGGGTGTGCACTACAAATGTTTTTCTTCGCTTCTTTTGCTGATGCTGAGTGCCTTATCCTGGCAGCAATGGCTTATGACCGCTATGCAGCCATCTGCAACCCACTGCTCTATACTACACTGATGTCTAGGAGAGTCTGTGTCTGCTTCATTGTGTTGGCATATTTCAGTGGAAGTACAACATCACTGGTCCATGTGTGCCTCACATTCAGGCTGTCATTTTGTGGCTCCAATATCGTCAATCATTTTTTCTGTGATATCCCACCTCTTCTGGCTTTATCATGTACAGACACTCAGATCAACCAGCTTCTGCTCTTTGCTTTGTGCAGCTTCATCCAGACCAGCACTTTTGTGGTAATATTTATTTCTTACTTCTGCATCCTCATCACTGTGTTGAGCATCAAGTCCTCAGGTGGCAGAAGCAAAACATTCTCCACTTGTGCTTCCCACCTCATAGCAGTCACCTTATTCTATGGAGCGCTCCTGTTTATGTACTTACAGCCCACCACTAGCTATTCCCTAGACACTGATAAGGTGGTGGCAGTGTTTTATACTGTTGTATTTCCCATGTTTAATCCAATAATTTATAGTTTCAGAAACAAGGATGTGAAAAATGCTCTCAAAAAGCTATTAGAAAGAATTGGATATTCAAATGAATGGTATTTAAATCGTTTAAGAATAGTCAATATCTAACTTACCCTTCCAATCTCATAAACAGCAATTATGCCATGAACATCTTATGTGTTAACTATTTTAAATTTATCACATTTTCAGAAATAAAGATAACTTGTTATACTCAGTGCATTAAAATGCTTCATCCTCTCTTCCAAAAATGTTCTCTCCACAATTCTACTCTATAAAACATTACCTAATTAAACATAGTCATTATTTATATCCAATTAGTGTTTCTAAAATGCTTTGTACATTGATTCTGTTCTTTACGATGTTGTATTGAAGGTAAATATTGACTTTTCAGTCAATCAATCGGTATTAGAAGCTACTTGGCAGCAGAGCATGTGTATATTGGCTTGTTTTTTCCACCACCTGTTTGGCACCTGGTATACTGCATGTCTTCCTTATCTGTGTGTTTAGGCCATTTATGCATAGAGTTCCATTATTGGAACACTAAGCATCCTACTGCTCAAGGTCATCGCCAAGGTCTGATTTCAAAAATTCAAAATATTGTAACCTCAGACATAAATTTAAGTATGGATGGAGGGATGGATAGATGGATAGATAGATGAATGACTGGGAAAATACAGCCTTATTTTATTTGGACAGTGAGTCTATATTTGTACTCACAAAGCATTTGTCAATAGAGATATTTTATAATACCAATAATCTGTTAGGGATACTGATGGTGGTTTCACTGGTTCTCAAGAAATTAGAAGACATGTAGCAATAGTCTCATTATTATTAAGTCAGAATGAAGATACATCACATTGTCTTTGGGCTAAGTTGATTACTGCAAGAAATTCCCTACTTTTTCATTCAGAGTGGGTAATTGTGAAAAACAAGTTTGTGAATACTATCAAGATTATAAACTGTAGAATTTCCTAATTATTTATATTCATGTTGCTAACATAGTCTTTGAGGCTCTATCTTCAAGAAGAGGTGAAAATTACACTGATCTTTTATTCTGTAAATTTACAATGCAAGGCAATTAAAGTATAAACAATTTTTACTCTGTAATCGATTTTGATAATTAAATTATCAGATTTTTTGTGGTTTATTCTGATCTTTCAGTCTGAAGTCTCTATTTACTTTTTGTCTTATTTTGACAAAGTTAAAGTGATACACCATGTACATGTGAAATAAAAAAGTGTGCATTTTGTAATAATTATGAAAATATAAATGGTTGGATTAGTTATATTGAATTTAACCTTGGACATGGAGACAATAAGATAGCACCTAATGAAATGGATTGTTTTGAGTATTAAGTAAAGTTATATATGTAAAATTACTGGTATATGTATATGATTTGAAAATTAAATAATCTAATATTTATAGACATACCATGAAGATACTGTGGGTTCTCTTCTAGATCACTACAATAAAGCAACTGACGCAGTAAAGTGTCACACAAATTTTTAGATTTCTCAGTGCATATCATAGTTATGTTTGGTGGCTGGCAAGATGGTCAAATAGGAGATGCTCCAGTCTGCTGCTCCCAGCAAGATCAACAGAGAAGGTGGGTGATTTCTGCATTTCCAACTGAGGTACCTGGCTCATCTCATTGGGACTGGTTAGACAGTGGGTGCAGCCCATGGTGGGTGAGCAGAAGCAGGGTGGGGTGTTGCTTCACCCGGGAAGCACAAAGGGTTGGCAAACTCCCTCCACTAGCCAAGGGAAGCCATGAAGGACTGTGCCATGAGGAACGGGTGCACTCTGGCCCAGATACTATGCTTTTCCCATCGTCTTCACAACACACGGACCAGGAGATTCCCTTGGGTGCCTACATCACCAGCTCCCTGGGATTGAAGCACAAAACTCGGTGGCTGTTTGGGCAGGCACTGAGCTAGCTGCAGGAGTTTTCTTCATACCCCAGTGGCACCTGGAATGCCAGCGAGACAGAACCATTCACTCCCCTGGAAAGGGGGCTGAAGCCAGGGAGCCAAGTGGTCTAGCTCAGCAGATCCCACCCCCATGGAGCCCAGCAAGCTAAGATCCACTGGCTTGAAATTCTTCCTGCAAGCATAGCAGTCTGAAGTTGACCTGGGATGCTCGAGCTTGGTTGGAGGAGGAGAGTCCGCCATTGCTGAGGCTTCAGTAGGCAGTTTTCCCCTCATAGTGTAAACAAAGCTGCCAGGAAGTTTGAACTGGGTGGAGCCCACCGCAGCACTGCAAAACCTCTGTAGCCAGACTGCCTCTCTAGATTCCTCCTCTCTGGGCAGGGGATCTCTAAAAAAAAGGCAGCAGCCCCAGTTAGGGGCCTAGAGATAAAACCCCCATCCCCCTGAGACAGAGCACCTTAAGGAAGGGATGGCTGTGGGTGCAGCTTCAGCAGATTTAAATGTCCCTGCCTGCTGGCTCTAAGGAGAGCAGCATACCTCCCAGCACATCGTTCAAGCTCTCCTAAGAGATAGACTCCTGCATCAAGTGGGTCCTTGACCCCGTGACTCTTGACTGGGAGACACCTTCCAGTAGGGGTTGACAGATACCTCATAGGAGAGAGCTCCAGCTGGCATCTCACAGGTGTGCCTCTAGGATGAAGCTTCCAAAGGAAGGAACGGGCAGCAATCTTTACTGTTCTGCAGCCTTCGCAGGCAAACAGGGTCTGGAGTGGATCTCCAGCAAACTCCAGCAGACCTGCAGCAGAGGGGCCTGACAATTAAAAGGAAAACTAAGGAATAGCATCAATATCAACAAAAAGGACGTCCACTCAGAAACTCCACCACCAACATCAAAGACCAAAGGTAGATAAATGCATGATGGTGAGGAAAAACCAATGCAAAAAGGCTGAAAATTTCTAAAACCAGACATCTCTTCTCCCACAAAGGATCACAATTCCACGCCAGCAAGGAAACAAAACTGGACAGAGAATGAGTTTGATGAATTGATGGAAGTAATTGGGTAATAACAAATAGAAGAATTGGGTAATATCAAACTCCTCTGAGCTAAAGGAGCATGTCCTAACTCAATGCAAAGAAGCTAAGAACCTCGAAAAATGGTTAGAGGAATTGCTAATTAGAATAACTGGTTTGAAGAGAACATAAATAACCTGATGGAGCTGAAAAACACAGCACGAGAACTTCATGAAGCATACACAAGCATCAATAGCCAAATCGATCAAACAGAAGGAAGGATATCAGAGATTGAAGATCAACTTAATGAAATAAAGCTTGAAGACAAGATTAGAGAAAAAAGAATGCAAAGAAATGAACAAAGCCCCCAGGGATTATGGGACTATGTGAAAAGAGCAAACATATATTTGATTGGTGTACCTGAAAGTGAGGGGGAGAATGGAACCAACTTGGAAAACACTCTTCAGGATATCATCCAGGAGAAACTCCCCAACCTAACAAGACAGGCCAACATTCAAATTCAGGAAATACATGTAACACCACAAAGATACACCTCAAGAAGAGCAACCCCCAGACACATAATCATCAGATTCACCAAGGTGGAAATGAAGGAAAAAATGTTAAGGTGTTAAGGACAGCCAGAGAGAAAGCTCACATTACCCACAAAGGGAAGCCCATCAGACTAACAGCGGCTGTCTCAGCAGAAACCCTATAAGCCAGAAGTGAGTGGGGGCCAATATCCAACAGTCTTAAAGAAAAGAATTTTAAATGCAGAGTTTCATATTCAGCCAAACTAAGCTTCATGAGTGGAGGGAAATAAAATCCTTTACAGAAAAGCAAATGCTGAGAGATTTTGTCACCACCAGGCCTGCTTTACAAGAGCTCCTGAAGGAAGCACTAAACATGGAAAGGTACAACTGGTAACAGCCACTGCAAAAAAAACAAATTTTAAAGAACATTGACACTACGAAGAAACCACATCAGCTAATGGGCAAAATAACCAGCTAGCATCATAATGACAGGATCAAATTCACACATAACAATATTAACCTTAAATGTAAATGGGCTGAAAGCCCCAGTTAAAAGCCACAGACTGGCAAATTGGATAGAGTCAAGACCGATTGGTGTGCTGTATTCAGGAGACCGATCTCATGTGCAAAGCATACATAGGCTCAAAATAACGGGATGGAGGAATATTTACCAAGCAAATGGATAGCAAATAAAGAAAAAAGAAAAAAAAAACAACAAAGCACAGGGGTTGTAATCCTAGTCTCTGATAAAACAGACTATAACCAAAAAAGATCAAAAGAGATAAAGAAGGCAATACATAATGGTAAAAGGATCAATGCAACAAGAAGAGCTAACTATACTAAATATATATGTACCCAATACAAGAGCACCCAAATTCATAAAGCCAGTTCTTAGAGATCTATGAAGAGACTTAGACTAACACACAAAAATAGTGGGAGACTTTAACACCCCACAGTCAACATTAGACAGACCAAGACAGAAAATTAACAAGGATATTCAGGACTTGAACTCAGCTCTGGACCAAGCAGACCTAATAGACCTCTACAGAACTCTACACCCCAAATCAATAGAATATACATTATTCTCAGCACCACATTGCATTTATTCTAAAATTGACCACAATATTGCAAGTAAAATACTCCTCAGCAAATGCAAAACAATGGAAATCATAACAGTCTCTCAGACCACAGTGCAATCAAATTAGAACTCAGGATTAAGAAACTCACTCAAAACCACACATCTACATGGAAACTGAACAACCTGCTCATGAATGACTACTGGGTAAATAATGAAAATAAAGCAGAAATAAATAAGTTATTTGAAACCAATGAGAACAAAGACACAAGGTATCAGAATCTCTGGGACATAGCTAAAGCAGTGTTTAGAGGAAAATTCACAGTACTAAAGGCCCACAAGAGAAAGCAGGAAAGATCTAAAATCAACACCCTAACATCACAATTAAAAGAACTAGATAAACAAGAACAAACAAATTCAAAAGCCTCAGAAGACAAGAAATAACTAAGATCAGAGCAGAACTGAAGGAGATAGAGACATGAAAAACCCTTCAAAAAATCAATGAATCCAGGAGTTGGTTTTTGGAAAAGATCAACAAAATAGAAAGAACACTAGCCAGACTAATAAAGAAGAAAAGAGAGAAGAATCAAATAGACACAATAAAAAATTATAAAGGGGATATCACCACTGTTCCCACAGAAATACAAACTACCATCAGAGAATACTATAAACACCTCCACACAAATAAACTAGAAAACCTGGAAGAAATGGTTAAATTCCTGGAAACACACACCCTCCCAAGTCTAATCCAGGAAGAAGTCAAATCCATGAATAGACCAAAAACAAGTCCCAAAATTGAGGCAGTAATTAATAGCCTACCAACAAAAAATAGTCCAGGACCAGCCAAATTCTACCAGACATACAAAGAGGAGCTGGTACTATTCCTTCTGAAACTATTCCAAGCAATAGAAAACGAGAGGCTCCTCCCTAACTCATTTTATGCGGCCAGCATCATCCTGATATGAAAACCTGGCAGAGACACAGCAAAAAAAGAACATGCCAGGCCAATATCCCTGATGAACATGATGCAAAAATCCTCAAAAAATACTGGCAAACTGAATTCAGCGGCACATCAAAAAGCTTATCCACCAATCAAATTGGCTTTATCCCTGGGATGCAAGGCTGGCTTAACATACGCAAATCAATAAACGTAACCCATCTCATAAACAGAACCAATGACAAAAGCACATGTTTATCTCAACAGATGCCGAAAAGGCCTTTGATAAAATTCAACACCCTTCGTGCTAAAAACTCTCAATAAACTAGGTATTGACAAACATATCTCCAAATAATAAGAGCTATTATGACAAACCCACAGCCAATATCATACTGAATGGGCAAAAACTGGACGCATTCCCTTTGAAAACCGGCACAAAACAATGATGCCCTCTCTCACCACTCCTATTCAACATAGTATTGAAAGTGCTGGCCAGGGCAATCAGGCAAGATAAAGAAATAAAGGATATTCAAATAGGAAAAGAGGAAGTCAAATCGTCTCTGTTTGCAGATGACATGATTGTATATTTAGAAAACCCCATCGTCTCAGGCCAAAATCTCCTTAAGCTGATAAGCAACTTCAGCAAAATGTCAGGATACAAAATCAATGTGCAAAAATCACAAGCATTCCTATACACCAATAACAGACAAACAGAGCCAAATCGAATGAACTGCCATTCACAATTGCTACAAAAGAGTGTAAAATACCTAGAAATACAACTTACGAGGGATATGAATGACCTCTTCAAGGAGAACTACAAATTAGTGCTCAAGGAAATAAGAGAGGACACAAACAAATGGAAAAACATTCCATGCTCATGGATATGAAGAATCAATATCATGAAAATGGCCATCTACTGCCCTAAGTAATTTTTAGATTCAATACTATCCCCGTCAAGCTATCATTGAATTTCTTCACAGAATTAGAAAAAAAAAAAAACTACTTTAAATTTCATGTGGAACCAGAAAACAGCCCATGTAGCCCAGGCAATCCTAAGCAAAAAGAACAAAGCTGGAGGCATCATGCTACCTGGCTTCAAACTATACTACAAGGCTACAGTAATAAAAACAGTATGGTCCTGGTACCAAAGCAGATATATAGACCAATGGAACAGAATAGAGGCCTCACAAATAACACCACACATCTACAACCATCTGATCTTTGACAAACCTGACAAAAACAAGCAATGAGGAAAGGATTCCCTATTTAATAAATGGTGTTGGGAAAACTGGCTAGCCATATGCAGAAAGCAGAAACTGGACCCCTTCCTTATATCTTATACAAAAATTAACTCAAGATGGATTAAAGACTTAAACATAAAACCATCAACACGCTGAACCATGCACTTGCCTTGCTATTGATGGCTTCTGTCTGATCACAGTGATGTGTGGCTGTGGCATTTTCTAAAAATAATAAAATAGTAAAGTTTGTCATGTAGATTGACTCTTCTTTTGATGAAGATTTATCTGAAGCATGTAATGCTGTTTGATAGCTTTTTACTCACAGTAGAACTTCTTTCAAAATTAAAATCAATCCTTTCAAACTTGCCACTGCTTTATTAACTACATTTATGTACTCTCTAAAATATTTGTGGTCATTTCAATGATCTTCACAATATCTTCATCAGGAGTAGATTTAATCTCAAGAAACCACTTTCTTTGCTAATCCATAAAAAACAAGTTCTCATTTATTCAAGTTTTATGAAAGTGATTCTGGATATCTAGTCACATCTTCAGGCTCCACTTCTAATTCCAGTTATTTTGATATAGCCACCATATCTGCAGGTGTTTACTACACTCTTGAATGCTTCAAGCCATCCAAGAGGGTTTGGAATCAACTTCTTTCAAACTTTTATTCATGTTGATATTTTTACCTCCTTCCATAAATGAAGAATGTTTTAATGGCATCAGGAATGATGAATCCTTTCTGGGAGGTTTTCTAATTACTTTACCCAGATTCATCAGAGGAATCATTATTTATAGCAGCTTTAGTCTTACAAAATACGTTTCTTACATAATGAAAGTTAAAATTACTTTTTGGCTAATGGACTGCAAAATGGATATCGTGTTAGCAAGCATGAAAAAAACATCAATCTCATTGTGCATCTCCTTCAGAGCTGTTGGGTGACCAGGTACATTGTTAATGATCAGTTATATTTTCAAAGAATTTTTTTTCTGAGCGGATCTCACCAGTGGGCTTAAAATGCTCAATAAACCATGCTGTTAATAGATGTGCTGTCATCCAAATTTTGTTGTTCCATGTATAGAGCAAAGGCAGAGTAGATTTAGCATAATTCTTAAGGGTCTTAGGACTTTTTGATTTGTAAACAAGCATTAATTTTAACTTAATATCACCAGCTCCATTAGCCCCTAACCAGAGAGTCAGCCAGTCCTTTGAAACTTTGAAGACAGGTGTGATGGTTAATACTGAGTGTCAACTTGACTGGATTGAAGGATGCAAAGTATTGATCCTGGGTGTGCCTGTGAGAGTGTTGCAAAGGAGTCTAACATTTGAGCCAGTGGGCTACGAAAGGCAGACCCACCCTTAATCTAGGTGGGCATCTTCTACTCAACTGCCAATGCAGCCAGGATATAAAGTAGGCAGAAAAACATGAAGAGGCTAGACTGGCTTAGCCTTTCAGCCCACGTCTTTTTCCCGTGCTGGATGCTTCCTGCCCTTGAACATCAGATTCCAGGTTCTTCAGCTGTGGGACTTGGACTGGCTTCCTTGTTCCTCAGCTTGCAGATGGCCTATTGTTTGACCTAATGATTGTGTGAGTTAATACGCCTTAATAAACTCCATATATATATATATATATATATATATATATACACACACACACACGTATACACGTATATACGTACATACGTATATATACGTGTGTGTGTGTTTGTGTGTGTGTTTGTGTGTATGTATATATATCCTATTAATTCTGTCCCTCTGGAGAACCCTGAGTAATACAGATTTTGGTACCAGGAGTGGTTCTAGAGGAACCGAATAATAAGGATGGAGTTCTTTCGTTGGTTTGGGGGTTTCTGTAGTTGGCTGCTTAATAGAATTGACCCAAAAATGCCAAGGACTCTACTGCTAATAGTAAGGAGAACACTTACAGTCCTTGGAGTGAACTGTTCAGAGAGTTATGCAATATAAATGCATTTGACACTCTTGATTCACCAATCCTGACGTGAGAGGCAAGGAGTTTAGTAACCCTGTACATAATACCTTTGACTATTTGTGGAGGACCAAATAATATCATGAAGTTTGCTGGTTGCTCCTAAGTTCACTGGACAAAATGATGAAATAAAATAATGAACTCAGGGATTCTAACTCCCGGCTTTAGACGCAGATACTGAGCCTCAAATCTGCTAAGTTTGCCGTGAGTGAAAATTTTATCTCCTG